>NC_000001.11:243002303-243153818 GCF_000001405.40 Homo sapiens
CATTTTCAAAAAGTGAAAACATGATTCTTATATAAGTCTATAGGGAGTGCGTATAAAGATCTGTTTACTTCACAAAAGAAAGAACCAGAGGATGGTAAAGCTGTTTGAAAAGAGAATTGGAAGGAGAAAGATTTGGATAGACCATCAGAAACAGCATGCTGACATAAGTTTGCTAATTTGGAAACCTCACTCGTTAATGTCCTGTAGAGCAATAAAATCTTTTTACAGGACAAAAATCATTTGTATCTCTACCAGACAAAAATTAACATGTAACTTGGCAGAGTCTGGGCCCTAATCAATAGTAAATAGTAAGTCAAACAAAAGTACATTCCCTTAGAGAGTTAAAAAAAGCTTTGGTGGTTTGTTAGGCAACCTTCCAGTACGGCATTAGAAAGACGTGCAGTCATCCTATTTTTACTTCCAAGTTTGGGATACTTTTTTTTTTGAGACAGAATTTTGCTCTTGTTGGCCAGGCTGGAATGCAGTGGCATGATCTCACCTCACTGCAACCTCCACCTCCCCAGTCCAAGCAATTCTCCTACCTCAGCCTTCCCAGCAGCTGGGATTACAGGTACACACCACCACGCCTGGCTAGTTTTTGTATTTTTTAATAGACAAAGGATTTCGCCACGTTGGCCAGGCTGGTCTCAAACTCCTGACCTCAAGTGATCTGCCCACCTTGGCCTCTCAAAGTGCTGCGATTACAGGCATGAGCCACCATGCCCGGCCAAGTTCAGGATACATGTTTAAAACAAAATTGGTCCCCCTCAGCCTGGTGGATGTCCCTGCAGAATTTTAAAATACTATTATGTTCTAGATGTCTGATGCTGTCAATTCTCAATGGCCAGAAGAGGGCATCTGCCCAGATCAGTTCAGGTGTCTATCCCTGGTCCGATCGCCTGTGCCCAGGGTAGCATATCAGGTACACAGGGCTGTTTCTTCCCTGCTATTGGTAGAATAGCTTTTCCAAGAAGGGGATAGGCTGGAATGGAAGAAAAGAGTCCAAAGAGGAAGGAACCACAACAGAAAGAGAATTGCTTTCCTTTCAGTTGTGAGAGCACCAGCTTAATGCCTCTTCCACATTTGCCCAGCAGAGGAAATGTTTGGGCCGAATGACAGAAAACCTAGGGTAGCCTTTTTGGTGCCTCCTGACAATCACAGAAGCAGGCTGGGATCCTACCCAGGTATGGCAGAGCAAGTGAGCCCACCTAGGTGGGAATCCTTACCCTCCTAATCCTGCAGGTTCACTTCACAATCTTGTGTAGACCTTAAACCGTTGTTTAGACAGTTATATGAAATGGGGTATTTTCTGGAGAAAAGGACAGTGAATGGTGATATGGGGATTTTTTTTTTTTTTTTTTTGAGACAGAGTCTCACTCTGTCGCCTAGGCTGGAGTGCAGTGGCATGATCTCTGCTCACTGCAACCTCCGCCTCCTGGGTTCAAGTGATTCTCCTGCCTCAGCCTCCTGAGTAGCTGGGATTACAGGCGCCCACCACCACACCCAGCTAATTTTTGTATTTTTAGTAGAGACACGGTTTCACCGTGTTGGCCAGGCTGGTCTCAAACTCCTGACCTCAGGGTATTCCGCCCGCCTTGGCCTCCCAAAGTGCTGGGATTACAAGCATAAGCCACCGCACTGGGCTGGGGATTTCTAAGTCCACTTGGCTCTCTCCCCTCTGGGCCTCAATGGGCAGCATTTTATCTGTAGCCTTTTTATCTTATAATAGTTTAACTAATGGATCTATTTTGAGTAAGGGATATGTACAAATTCTTTTGTGATTCCAGGAGGAGATGAGAGGTACAAAGTGCAATTATAAAATTATCATTGTCACCATTATCTCCAATCAGCACATCATTCACAGTGACAGTTCTAAGAGCTTTATATGGGAAAAGTGTAATCTATTGCAAATAGAGGGCCATCATTACTGCTCTTAGGCTCCCTTTAGGATTAGGGATGCAGGTTATCATCTAGGTCCTGCGGTCTCCTAGAGAGAGCAGGGAGCACCATCTCCATTAGTTGAAAGAAAGAAACGTAAATGTTATGAGATGAGACTAGGGCAATGACTCCCTGTTCTTGAGAAAACGAGTCAATTCAGTGTCGAAGAAAAACTCAGTAAGCTTTGATGCCTTGTTCTTAACCTACAAACTTGGTAGAGCCACAGAAAGAACATGGAGCAAAATGAAGAAATGGTTTAGTTCCTCTAAGGATCCTTTCATACTTAGGCATTGCTTAATCCAGTTGACTGATTTTTCAAAGAATCTTGCCATATCTGATTTGAAAGCACACAAAGTAGGTGGCTACTTCACGCCTCATCTCTTGGCTCTAGGATCATATTGGGATCAGGCTTTGGGATCAGGTTCTTTGCAGATCAGAAATGGCATAGGGGAGTGTACCGGGAATCAGACAAACCTAAGCACACATCCAGATTCTGCCATTTTTTTTTTTTTTTAGCTGTGTGGGAAAATCTCTTTGCTACTGACATGGTTTGGCTCTGTGTCCCCACCCAAATCTCATGTTGAATTGTAATCCCCAGTGTTGGAGGTGGAGCCTGATGGGAGGTGATTGGATCATGGGGGTGGTTTCTAATGGTTTGGCACCATCCCCCAGTGCTGTCTCATCATAGAGTGCTCATGAGATCTGGTTGTTTAAAAGTGTACAGCACTCCCGCTTTAGCTCTCTTCCTCCTTCTCCAGCCAAGTAAGACGTGCCTCCTTCCCCTTCACCTTCTGCCATGATTGTCAGTTTCCTGAGGCCTCCCAAGCCATGCTTCCTGTATGGCCTGTAGAACTGAGAGTCAATTAAACATCTTTCTTTTTTTTTTTTTTTTTTGAGATGGAGTCTCGCTCTGTCACTCAGGCTGGAGTGCAGTGGTGTGATCTTGGCTCACTGCAACCTCCACCTCCAGGGTTCAAGCAATCCTCCTGCCTCAGCCTCCTGAGTAGCTAGGATTACAGGTGTGCACCACCACACCCAACTAATTTGTGTGTGTGTGTGTGTGTTTAGTAGACACGGGGTTTCACCACGTTGGCCAGGCTGGTCTCTAACTCCCGACCTCGTGGTCTGCCCACTTCGGCCTCCCAAAGTGCTAGGATTATAGGCATGAGCCACCGCGCCTGGCCCACCTCTTTTCTTTATAAGTTACCCGGTTTCAGGTAGTTCTTCATAGCAATGCAGACTAATACAACTACTTTGAGTCTCACCTTTCCTTATTTGGAAAAATATTTCCATTGAAGTGTTATGGTGAAGATTCAATACAATTAAATGATATAACATATGTAAAGGGCTTAGCAATAACCCAATGGCTAATAAGCAGCCAAGGAGTGGTAGCTCTCAGTATAGTCAGCCTCTAAGAAGAGATCAAATGTTTATTTTCAAGAAGAATTATGCAGAAAGGGCCACTTTCAGTCTACCATCCCCCCAAATTCCTTGAAGGCAGGATGATGTGAGCAGCAAGGGCATGAAATACTACAGAACCTGCAGGGAATGAAGTCCCTCTGTCTGTGTGTGCCTATATCAATAATTTAAACTTACACATTCATGAGATGCACTGTGTTTATTAGGATGTACATGTGTCCCTAAGAATCTGAGAGTTCCTGAGAGACAGAGACGGTGTCTTACTCATCTGCTCTCCCCAGGTCCTGGCTTACTATCTGGCACTTATTGGGTAATAAATGTCTGTTGAATGCATGGAAAAAGAAAGGTAGGAAAGGTATGAAGGAGAAGATGGAGGTCATGACCAGTAGAAATCTCAGCTGTTCTGCCTGGGCTCCATGTCATCTCCCTGCTATCAGGCCCATCAGAATGTAAGCACAAATGCCTAGAGAATGACAAGCTTCTTTGGGACTCTGCTGACTAGACATGACATAAGACTGGACAGCTCCTGGGGAACTTCCAAGAGCTGGCTCCAGGAGCTGCTGGCTTGGCTGCCTCTCTCCCTTCCTTATTTCCAAGATTGGTCACCTCCTGCTCTGAAATAGCAATTGATTTTCAGACATGAGTTGATAGAGCCATGATTTTCTAATACTGTTCCAAAGGGGCTAAAGTACCTCTGAGGAGCAGTGCAGGCTAGGATCAAACTCTCCCTACCTTCCACTCCACTCCCTACCTTGCCCCTCCACCTCTGCCCACTTTCTATTTCCTCAGGCACAGCAGCTTCTACCTTATGGATTACAAATTCTGGTCATCCATCTATGGTTGAATTAGGAAAAGAGTACTGCTACTTTCATTTTCTTTTCTAACCACTGCCCTAGAAGAATAACACCTCACATTCTCTGGTAGACTGAAGCCTGCAGCTGCAAGGATGCTCAGAAAACCAGACTTCTATTCATTGGCCACTTGCTGAACTTTCTGTCCCTCTATCCTTGCAACGTACCTTTGAGGTAGGCATAAAAATCCCCATTTACAAGTGAGAAAACCAAGGCAGAAGAGGTTCAGTTTATTTCAGGCTCAAATGTGCTTCCAATAGCTTATAGCCTCTACAGCTAGTGTTTGAACCCAGGTCTGAAAGAAATAGGATTGACAAGGGGAGGGAAAGGAGGAACAGAAATTCTTTTCTATAAGACAATTGTTTATGCAGCCAGGATTTCTTAAAATCCAGTTTGTGCCTACGGACATAATCTTTGAATTTGCTTTGTTTCTCGATGAATAACTTGGAAGCTATTCAAATAACTTGGAAGCTTCCTTTAAAAGGAACATCAGGAGGTGATTTTTGACTAACCCTAGGTGTACTTTCTGAGCCAAATAGATTTTCAAATAAGAAAATGAGAGGACGTGAGCTTGAGGAAAATGATAGGCATTCCAACCTCACCTGCTTGCTGACGACCTCCACGTGATTTCAACAATGATTTCAAATATTTCACTTTTTAAGTCAGTGTGACTTAAGTATGAAATTGCCTCTCCCTAAAGCTCCCCTAAGGCCTAAACAGTCATCATTACCATAGCTGTGACAGGGAGACTGTTGAATTTATGATCTATTGGCCATTCACAGCATAGCGTATAAACCTAGCTCGTGATTTCTTTGCAATAGAAGTGCACTTTTTCATCATATTCCCTTCACAACTTACTCACCAGATCAGACTTTGAGCTCTCCTCCAGGCTGGTTTAGCCTGGATCATTTGAAATGGTCATCCATCCTTTGGCCCCAATACCTAAACTAAGGTCTATGAACAATAAGATGATTTTCTTCAGTGGGACTTTTTTGTTTAATATAATATTAGATAATTCCCCTGATACAGGGCTCAATCTTTTTCTTTTTAAAGCAATATTTCTCAAAGTACTTTTCACAGAACTTAAGTTTCATTAAGCACTTCACTAAAAGAAAAGTCTGTGATCTAATAAATCTGGAAAATATTGAGAATTAGAGCCCCCTCTTAGATATGTACTGTAGCTACTCAGCTTGTTACAGATGAAGTAAACATTGTAATATTCACCCAGCTTTTGAGTGATGTCTATTAACGTCACCCAAATGAGTATTCCACGGAATGCACTTTGCAAAAACCTATTATTCAAGAAAATTCTGGAGCATGAAAGCTATTAACGATAAACCCATTCACAAAATCACACCAAATATCTAAAATCAAGTTTAAAATCTCCTAGAAATGGGTTGAATTGCCCACTTCAGAGACAAAGTGATTCTTTTGTAATAACGAGTTTTGTTTAGTGAGTACTTATTATCTCACTGAATCCTGAGGACTACCTCACAAGGTAAGTATAGCTCTTTTCATTACACATGACAGACAAGGCTCAGAGAGGTTAAGTAACTTGCTCAAGATCACAAAACTGCAGAGTGACAAAACTAGAATTTTGAATCTAAGCTCAAAGGGTCACCAAACCAAATTCGGGTCCACCCACCCAGCCTATCAAAGTCAAGCACTGATATCGGCATTGCTGAGACAGAAGTTGAGGAATTTATTGCAGGCAGCAAGCAAGGAGTATCAGGCAGCTAATCCTTAAGGCCTAATCTCCCTGATGGCTTATGTGTAAGGGTTTTTAAAGGTGGGAAGGCAGAGGTTGCAGGCAAGGTCATACAATACATGGAGGCTACATATTGGTTTGGCCAAAAAAGGCAAAATATCTCAAAGTGAGGGCCCACAGGATAGGTGAACATTAGATGAATTCAAAGATTTTCTGATTTGAGACCAGGTGCAGTGGTTCATACCTGTAATCTCAGCGCTTTGGGAGGCCAAGGTGGGTGGATAACTTGAGGCCAGGAGTTTGAGACCAGCCAGACCAACATGGCAAAACACCATCTCTACTAAAAATACAAAAATTATCTGGGCGTGGTGGTGTGCACCTGTAATCCCAGCTACTCAGGAGGCTGAAGCATGAGAATCGTTTGAACCTGGGAGGCAGAGGGTTCAGTGAGTTGAGATCGTGCCACTGCACTCCAGCCTGGGCAGCAGAGTGAGACTCTGTCTCAAACAAACAAACAAAAACCCAAAGATTTTCTGATTTGTGATTGTTTAAGTTTTGGCTACAAACTTGGGGTCAGCAGAAAGGAATGTTCTGCTCTGGCCTGTGGGTGTGACTTCCTCCAGGTCCCTCAGAAAGAAATTTAGAACAAAGAACAGTTGTGAGAGTTCAGTCCTCAGTTCCTCCTTATCTGAGATCTACGAGCCAACAGGTGGTATTTTCCATTTAGCGGGGTCTGGATTTCTACAAAACAACTCAGGGACATATGTTAAGATGTTATCTCTAGTTTCTATAGGGAAACAAACATTTTGTGGCTCTAATTTTCTTTTTTTTTAATTATACTTTAAGTTTTAGGTACATGTGCACAACGTGCAGGTCTGTTACGTATGTATACATGTACCATGTTGGTGTGCTGCACCCATTAACTCGTCATTTAAGATTAGTTCGTGGCTCTAATTTTCTTGACTATTGTTTTAAGCTATTATTACCTTCTTACTTATCAGGGTGCTCATCTACTTCTTGAGGCTAGCCAGGTGGCTGGAATTTTCCTTGGAGGGACTCAAGAGTTTCCTTTATTTTTCGTGCCTTAAATGGGTCTGTTCTCCCTCTTCAAAGCTCAAGCTCTTAAGGACTATGCTATTGTTAGATTTTTCGTATTGGAGCAGACCTTCCCTCCTACTCAAGAACACCCCTTCTTCAGACAGCCTGGCTGGGTCTTCATCCTGGGAGAGCTCATGAAACACAAACCAGATCTTGGCCCTCACGTGTGTCTAGGCAGAGCGGAGCCTGGGCAACACCAAGCGTGCCCCCGATTTTGCCTGCCCCAGCCAATTCGGAGTCAAGATCCACGCTCAGCTCCTTCCCTGCAAAGTGCTAATGATGAAGCATGGGGATCAAGTCAGCAAACTCCAGAAATGGTCTTAGACTAGGAGTCAAGCCTTGAGATCCTATTACACACCAGATTCATTCCCTGATTAGAGCTGCTGGATTCTTTTACTCTCACTGCACTCATGCTAAAGTTTCTTTCCTCCAGCCTCCTAACCCCAGAGGAGGCTGAGCCATGATACCCATTGTCAAGCAATACATATTTAAGGAGCCCCTGAGATATGTCAGGCACCATCGTAGGTGCTGGGACAAGTGAATGTGACCAGGAAAGTCCCTCCCCTCTCAGAGGTTCTTTTCAAGTTGGAGGACAGCAAATACAGAAATATAGAGTCTAACATAACAACAGGGAGTAATAAACACTTTGAAGAAAAATAAAGTGGAATAAGAGGGTAGGGTTGCCATAGGGTTCTCTGGGCAGTCTTCTATGGGAAGGCCACTTGTTTGGGCAGAGAAACAAAAGATGTCTGAAAGGAGGACTACGGGCCCCCCATAAGTGTGCTCCGGTCCGCGCACAGGGCAATGGGCATGTAATTTCCTATGATTAAGACCTACAGTATGTACAATATTACTGCAACAGACACTGAGACTCACTTAGCATTGTTTCATAGCATCCGAGTTGCTCTGTTGGAGGAAAGTGCATGTGATGGGCATTCATTTGCTTCTGCCATCAGACAGATTCTCTACCTTTGTCCTTCCTACAAGATTCCCTAGGAAGGCAGGGCTCAGTGGCTCACGCCTATAATCCCAGCAATTTGGGAGTCCGAGGCAGTCAGATCACAAGGTCAGGAGTTCAAGACCAGCTTGGCCAACATGGTGAAACCCCGTCTCTACTAAAAATACAAAAATTAGCTGGGCATGGTGGCACATGCCTGTAATCCCAGCTACTCAGGAGGCTGAGGCAGGAGAATTGCTTGAACAGGGACCCGGGAGGCAGAAGTTGCAGTGAGCCAAGATCGCATCACTGCACTCCAGCCTGGGCTACAGAGTGAGACTCTGTCTCATAAATAAATAATAAATAAATAAATGATTCCCTAGGAAGCTGACTCCCACTGAATGTGCCACTCAGGAGTCCCTCCTCTCTAGATTACAGTTGAGTTTGCTCAATGCAAGGCCCCAGCAGAAATGTTGGAAGTAAGAGCAAATAGATAGTTAACCACTCTTTAAAACAACAATGGATGTATACTTCTCTGGCCTCAGCTCCTGTGGGGAAGCTCCAGTGCCAGTCCCTGGGGGCTTCACCATTTTCAGTTAGTTCCTGAACCTTGTAAACAGACCCTTCACTAAATTCTTCCTAGTTAACCCTTTGAGAATGAAACCATTTCCTGCCAGGACTCTGACAGATGCAAAGAACCCACAGCCGACTGCTGGGTGCGCAGCAGACCTAGTGCATGGCTCCACACTGCCATCTTGGGGGCTGGCACAGGCTGGCACTGAGTCTGGGGAAGGGAGCTGGGGCTGGAGGTGTGGAGGGGAAGACCGTGCATAGTTGCTTCCTGATCAGCTCTTTATTTGATTGAGAGTGAGGCAGGGAAGATTAGAGGGAAGCTTACAGTGGAATTCAGGGCTGAGGCTGCTATTCTTTTGCTCCTTGTAACTTCCTACAGTGTTGTCAGCATCCACATACTTCTCTGTGGGGTTGGTCTCAGAGCCAGGTTACCTTGTCTTAGGTCCAGTGGCACCCTGACTGGCTTGGTGTCCTTGAACAAGTGACCTAACCTCTCCATACCTCAGTCCCTCAGCTGTAAAATTTAAAAAAAAAAAAAGAAGAAGAGTACCTACTGTATAGCATTGATTTGAAGATTGAATGAGCTGGTATTATACAATGTTTAGAAGCAGTGCCTGACACGCAAAAGGCTCTCAACAAATACTATCCTTTACTAATATCCCGTGTGTCTGTATCAGAGCTGGGGGGTGGAGGGACAGAAAGAAGTGGGAGAAGGTAAAGAGATGGGCAAATGATCTCTAAAGTCTCTCTGGCACTAACACAATTCTTTATTATGCGTTTTGTCTGGCTCTTTATATTGATAGCTGTTCCAGAGGCAATCAATACCTATTAGTCGGTTTTATTCTTATTTTTCTGTCTGATCTTACAGGGGAGCAAACTGAGGCAAAGCATGAACTTACTTCTCAGGAAATTAACCATTATGTTGGCAATCGCTGTGATTATTTGAACGGCAGCATCTGGACAAATTTAGTCACATGAAGTACAGAAGAGAGATTTCTCATGGTTAAAACGAAGCTCTCTTTATTTGCTTCTGCTAATTAAAAAATCAGAGCTAAAGATACTTAAACACTACAGTTAAAATGCCATGGTTGTCTATTGGCTTAATGAATTCTCTTATGAAATCAACTCTAAAATGTTATCCATCATAAATCATGAAACACAATTTTTCTTATTCTCTTTAGAGCTTTACAATTCATCTTAAAGACCAGTGTTTACACTCTCTTCTGTAGGTTGTACAATAACTTTGGCGAGAAAAAATAAAAGCCTGGCTTTCTGACTCATAGGTGTGTTCCCTTTAACAGAAAAAGAAAATATGTCCTCTTTAAAACTGATGATCATTGGTCACCTCAATTTTATTGAAGTTCACTTCTGACCTCTTTAGATGTAGTTCTCTACATAAAACTGCCCAACAGAATTCTCTGTCTGAATGCCTTCTCCACAAACAAAATTTTAAGAACTAAAATCATCATCTTTCCTTCCAAATGTGCTCTCCCTATGTCCCCAGGGCTCTCCATGTGTAGAGCTGAGACCATTTGCCACTCAGTTTCCTCACCCAATTAATTGCAAGTCCCAACAATTTTCCTTTTTTTTTTTTTTTTTAAACGGAGTCTTGCTCTGTCACCAGGCTGCTGTGCGGTGGTGCAATCTCAGCTCACTGCAACCTCCGCTGCCTGGGTTCAAGCGATTCTCCTGCCTCAGCTTCCCAAGTAGCTGGGATTATAGGTGTGTGCCACTACATCCAGATAATTTTTGTATTTTTAGTAGAGAGGGGATTTCACCATATTGGCCCAGATGATCTCAATCTCTTGACCTCATGATCTGCCCACCTTGGCCTCCCAAAGTGCTGGGATTACAGGCATGAGCCACCATCCCTGGCCCACTTTTGCCTTTTTAACATCCCTCAGCTCTTCAAATCCATTTTCTCTTCTCTAACACCTCCCCATTCCCCAGCTCGTAATGAACTCTTAAGTAGATTACTACAATCACCTCCCAAATGGTCTTCCTGGCTCCATCAGCCTTGTGACCTTCAAGTTCATTCTCCACATGGATGTCAGAGTAACTTTCTAAAATGAAAATCTGACCACGTTACTCTCTTGCCTAAATCCGCCTATGGCTGCTGTTAGGATCAAGTCTAAACTCCCGACCCTGGAACATAAGGTCTTCGTGCTCTGTTCACTGCTTCTCTACCTCACCTGCAACCAACACCACTCCCACATCCATATTCTGCTCACCGTGTATCAACATGAACAGGAGGTGGGTGTTTCAGTCCCCAGGAAGACACTGGGCCTTTTCAATCATCTACTGCTGTGTAATAACCACCCCGCAAACTGACCACATGATTTCATTTTGCAAGGGTTCCTTCCTTGGGCTGTGTTCAGCAAAAGGGTTTACTGAGCTGGCAGGTCCAAGATGGCCTCACTCACAGGACTGGCTGTTGATGGGAGCCTTGATGCTCTTGGGCTCACCCCTTATCCTCCAGTAGGTTAGAGCTTCTTACAGTGGTTTCAGGCAGCATCTGAAGACAGTAAAAGCAGAAGCTCCAAGGCTTCTTACATTCTAGCCTGGAAAATCACATCACATTGCTTCCTTCATATTTTTTTGGCAAATCAGGTTGCAAGGCTTGCCCAGATTAGGGTAAAGAGGCTCCTTTTCTTTTCTTTTTTTTTTTTTTTTTTTTTTGTTTGAGTCAGAATCTCGCTCTGTTGCCCAGGCTGGAGTGCAGTGGCACGATCTAGGCTCACTGCAAGCTCTGCCTCCTGGGTTCATGCCATTCTCCTGCCTCAGGCTCCCAAGTAGCTGAGACTACAGGCACCTGCCACCACGCCTGGCTAATTTTTTTTTTTTTTGTATTTTTTAGTAGAGACTGTGTTTCACTGTGTTAGCCAGGAGGTCTCCATCTCCTGACCTCGTGATCCACCTGCCTTGGCCTCTCAAAGTGCTGGGATTACAGGCGTGAGCCACCGTGCCTGGCCAAGAGGCTCCTTTTCTTGATGAAAGGAGTAGTGAAGTCACATTGCATGTCCTTGCAAAGGGACATGCAGACCACATTAGTGAGAATATGTGCCTGTATTTTGCAATCTGTAACATGGGCATAAACTAAATGTTTTCCAAAGGGAGTAGGGCAAAACAAAAAGGACCTTGACCACTCCTTTGGCCCCTGAATAAATCCAGGAAGCCTAAGAGTATGACTATCCTGAGGTAGAAAGAGGGTCACATGCTGGATAAGAGGTACCTGGGCTCTCCACTTACAAGAAGAGAGCATGGTTACATTTATAATCACCATTCCCAACATGCTGTGAGTGCAGGCAGCTACCAGGAGGAGAATAAAGGAAATAACCAGGACACCCATCTCTAAACCTGTTAATTTAATCACACGGAACACTTCTATTTAAAATTCCCAAGGGTTAAGATGTAGGAATGCTTATCAAGGTAAATGCTGTTCACACTTCTTGGAGTGTCAGGCCTAGATCTCTATCCATCAGAAACAACAATATCAATAACAACAACAGCAACATGATGATGGGGCAATTTCTGAAAAGCACCATGTATTTTATCGATACATGTCCATTGCAGAAAATCCAGGTGAATCCAAAGAAGAAATAAATGTCTGCCACAATCCATAGCCCAGAGCTAACTAACCAGTATAAAGAACCCAGTGTGGTTTTAACTAATGGATCAAAAGATGCTCATCAAAGGCTCTGAGCTTTCCTGAGTGCTAACAGGAAACATCCAGCATCTCTGGTCTCTCTAAGGCTGCAGGTGTCTTTGCCCATAGTGCCTGTTTTGTGTCAGGGAAAGAATCAACCTGGGAGCCAAGCCCAGGAATCAGGATGACCAAGACATACTGGACAAGGAGGGAACAAACCCATCCAAGGACACTCAAGGACAAATCAAGCAAATGAATTTAAGGGAGACGTGCTCATGGTCTGCTTTGCTGCTCAGCATGGCTGGGAGGCACAGTGGAAGATCATGCATCCTGCCCCTGGGACTCCTCTGCCAGAGCCTGAGAGATTTCTCCTGCCCACAGGCTAGGGGTAGGACAGTTGGAATTGATCCATGCCTTCTAGCTAGACTGTGGGTCCCCTCAGTCTTGGGCATGGTGACAGCCCAGCATCAGACAGAGGTCAGTATCAAACTAGAAAATTTAATAAATGCTGTCAGATTTGTAGACCCAAGAAAATATAAACTGCCAATCACGGAGGAAAAAAATCTCTCAATGATCTTATCTTTATATGATTCCCTTGCTGCCTGGAAATTGACATTTCCTTGGGGATAATCTGGTCATAGGATTGGTGAAGGTGGAAGGGAGGCAACCTCTGAAGGTGGGGCCCTCTGCTCACCTGGGACAGGGAGGGCCTGAGGTAGGTGTCTGTGTGGGCTGGGGAGGAGGATGGGAGCAGTGCTTCTAGATGTTTCCACTTTCTCCTCATTAGATAATAACGAATGGGTGATTTCCCTAGTCACTGCAGTGTGAGGAAATCTACAAAATTAATTTCCCAATACACTTCACAGGATAGGTGGAGAAACCCATGAAGCACAACTGCAGTGGGTTATAAAAAATGGCCTTTCAAGTTGAGCAATAAATTCGTTCAAGCAGCCATTCTGAAGGACAAACGTGGTTCTGTATTTAAGAGGGGCATTCCAGCACTTCTCTAGCCACTGGGTTGACAATGACTCACCAAAGCCTCTGGTAGCCACCACAGGACGCCCAGAGCACGTTTTAAAGCTGAACACCAAACTGCGGACTTCGGGAGTAAGTGAACTGACTGGTTTTTATTTTGTTTTACTGCTTTTAACATTACAGTAACTGTTACAGGTTCCAGCAGGCTAACTGGGTAGAAATGAGTTTGGTTTCACTTAGTCTCTCTAAAGAGAAAGCGAGTCCATAGACTAATACCTAATAAAAGCAAAGCTCCCAACAATTGAAATCGCCTGGGCTGCTCTGTGTGTCCCACATGCATGGGTGTGGGTGCCAGTGTGTGTGCACGTGTGCATGCATGTGCATGTGTATTGGGATAGAGTGGTAAGAAAATGGGAAATAATAAGAATGTTCAGTCCATAGCCTTTCATTATAAAAAGGTGAGCTGTAATAAATACTAGTGCCACATTTAGCCAAAACTTTACTCCAGCCAAAAGTGATATTTTCATGATAACATCCTGTGATTGCTTTGTTCTTCGTCTTTTATGTTCTTCCTAGATGGGCTCAGAACATACAAGAATTAAGTACACATCTTATTTTCCAGTGATAATGCTACCAGCAAATTCTGTTGTTTGTATAAACATCAGCCATGTTTATATAACTAAACTAGTGTTTTGTTTTGTCAATTCAGCAAGAAATTAGACCAAATGGTGACTTAATGCTGCATTGATTTGGCTATCAATTTCTTTTCACTTTTCTGCAAAATATTTAATACATTATTAAATTGAATTATGCTGATGCCACAGTTCTTCTTATCTCAATTGTCTTAAAATTCATTTAATTTTTTTCCTTTGGTTTCATTATTCAAATTTTAACTTCAGTTCTCAAGATTTGATCTGATGGAAGAGATGGAGTCCATTACTAAGGACTCCATTGTGCTCCATCATGCCAGAGTTGTAAAATAGATCTCTTAAAGGAAATTTACTGTGATTTTTTTCTATTTAAGAGCTTCCTCTCCAGTTGAGCATGTAAGAAAATTATACCAGGAGAATACAGTAAACTCTATAAGGCAAGCTATAAACATGTAGCATTGTGATTAGGGCTGGTTCTCCTTCTAGAAACATGGTAGGATTGCAATTTCATACCATCCTTGAAGTTAGAGAGAGCCACGTGACTCATTTAGCCAATGAACTGTGAGCAGAATGACATGTCACTTCCAGCAGAAGCTTTAAGAATCTGAGAGACATTCATACGTTTTCCATGTGCTGTAGCCTTATACCCAAAGCCTGGGTCCCAAGTGACCATGACAGGCAGAGCTCCCTGTTGAGCCACAGAGATTTAGAGAATGGCTGTTAACACAGCATAATCTAGCCCATCCTGACTAATCTGATATTAACATGTATAATAAAGAATTCTATCAATTCTGAGGGAAGATGATTAGTTAAGGTCCTAGGTTGCAAGTCTCAAAACCTCTTCTAAGGATTGTAGACAGGAAATTAAATGACCTCTAGTCCCTAGAGTTCCCAATCTCCTACCATCCCATCCTAATATGACAGAAGTAATTCCTGAGTTGCTTCTGAAACCAGAGCTTCCCTCAGAACCCTTAGCCTGCCAGATGGCTTCTTGGAGAGCCCTCACTCACTTTTCTCCTCCTGCTATTGCTGCTCATTCATTCCAGCTTTTAAAAATTCATCTTTATCCAGGAACCTCGCTTCTAGAAAAGTCATACAGGTGCTTCCAGGAGGCTACATGGGCACCCATATTTTTCTAGCCACATTCATTAGACCAATGCAGCAGAGAAGAAAAGCCTCAATAATTATTATGACATGGCATGTTAGGATACCAAGTAAATTGCATTTGTAAAATGTGATTTTCTGTTGGTGTTCACTTCTGCTCTACTGACATTTGGTAAGTATTATTGACTGACTGACTAACTAATGTGGTCATTAGTCTTCATAAAGAAAGGCTCTCTACAAAAATGGAGGGATGCCCTTTTTCTGGCATTTAATACGTAAGAAATTGCCTCCGATAGAAACCAGAGTTGCCTGATTACTATCAGCACAGGAGAAATGTATTAATGTGCCTTTCTAGTAACAGGTTTTTAGAAAGTCAAATATAAACAAATCTGTCTATTTGTGTGTGTGCATGTGGTAGTGGGGAGGGAAGAAAAAATGAGGGGGAGAGAAAGAGAAATAAGAACCAAGTTTATTATACTGTATACAGGGGGAAAAAATTTTCCCAAGGTCCTAACAGAAGAGCAAAGTGCCACTGTCATAGCCTCAGTAGTGTTAGGGTTGCTTTTATGTATTTATTTATTTACTTATTTATTTATTTTTCCTTTTTTTTTCCTTTTTCTTTTTTTCTTCTTTTTTTTCTTTTTTTTTTTTTTTTTGGACAGAGTCTCACACTGTCGCCTGGGCTGGAGTGCATTGGTGCAATCTCGACTCACTGCAACCTCTGCCTCCCAGGTTCAAGTGATTCTCCTGCCTCAGCTGCCCAAGTAGCTGGGATTACAGGTGTCTGCCACCATGCCTAGCTAATTTTTTTGTATTTTTAGTAGAGATGAGGTTTCACTATGTTGGCCAGGCTGGTCTCGAACTCCTGACCTCGTGATCCACCCACCTTGGCCTCCCAAAGTGCTGGGATTACAGGCGTGAGCCACCGCCCCTGTCCAGGATTGCTTTTATAGCCAGTCTTCAGGTGCCCACTGTAGGAACAATGTCATTTAACCCTCGGGATTATTCTGTGCCAAATCTGGATAATGACTAATATTCAACACAGATATTCTCAGCTCAGAAGAGCAATTAGCAAATTCAGAAATTCTAAGTGCTTGCTTCCTTTTTAGTCAAATACAAATGTTTGTTAAAAGATATTATTTTGCTTTACACTTTTTCTCTCAGAAATAAACAGATGCTTGAATTCCCACAGTGCTGCTTGAGCCTCACACCATGTCATCCTGCCAGGCACCCAGATCCAGTTCTAGAGTTTCACATGATCATGAGTGTTGGTTAATAAGTCAATGTGAACTGGGAGGGGAGATTTTTCAGGAGTGCCACAGGGCTCTCCCTTTAATCACATACACTCCCTGCTTTCATTGGAAAGTGTACGATGATGTCAGAGTGCCCCAGAATGGAGCTAGTTGGAAGACTGCCGTCATAGGGATGCCTTAGTGAATTAATAAGGTTTTAATTTCTGGCTCTCAACTTTGTAGATGTAAAAGTTGATTTATCAATATGTGAGAAAGGATGAATCTTTCTGAAGGTTATGTCATCACACTCACTAAGCACACAGAGAATAATGTCTAGAATCTGAGTGCCATGTTATCAAATTATACTGAGACTCTTGCAGTCACATGGGCTGATATGTAAGCATCGTCATGCCTAGTACAGACTCTCCCTGCAGATGAAATTATATGGGATGCTAAATTATAATCAGAACAATGTTTGGCGAGCCAAAACTACAACAAGGGAAGCTAATTGGATGAATTTATAAAAATATGCCTCAGCCAAAATAGCTTAATTCAGTCTCCCTTATCATAAGGATAATCTTGCCTAAAGGGACAGTAATATTAAAGACACTAGGAATAACCTCTGTACTTTGGACAGTAGACCTGCATAGCCCATTAGGCCTCAATGAAGTCTTATGCAAGACCAGAAGCCAATTTGCCATTTTAAGGTGATTCTCCATGTTTCTGCTCTAACTGTGCTTCACAATACTCAAGACACTGAATCAGGATGTTTCCTGGAGTGCAGGGAGCTGTCCGTGGTACTGAGCAGTTCTCAGCAACCCAAAGATCCTACTGACTCCTCATCAGACTTCTTTCTCACTGGAATTTTACACCTGGGCTGTTAACACCAGGCCAGGTCAAATTCAAAGGAGAGAAAAAAGCTCATTATGAAGGGTAAAATCCAAAACACTGTGCATAAAGATATGTGTGCACAATTTTTATACATAAAGATTTCATAAAGCCAAAGCATCAGGAAATGAAAAGAAATACAGAAAGAAAAATGATGGTAAATGAGACATTAATTTACCCTTCTAATCTCTATCACAGCAAAAAGATAATTTAAAAATCTATATGAGAACCACAAAATACACAAAAATTATGTAGCAAAGCCTATAGCCTGAAAAAGTAAACATTGAAATTTGTATGTCCATAAAATGTTTACAAAATTGAGTACATATTACACACCCCACCGCAAAAACATCTAAGCAAAGTAGAGACTGTAGAAATGCTACAGATTATATTCTCTGATTATGACACAACAAAACTAGAAATTACGGCATGGAAATTTAAAAGCTTTCTCTTAAATAATTCTATGTCAAAAAGAAATCCAGGCTGGGTACAGTGGCTCATGCCTGTAATTCCAGTACTTTGGGAGGCCAAGGTGGGCAGGTCACTTGAGGTCAGGAGTTCAAGACCAGCCTCGTCAACATGGCGACACCCTGTCTCTACTAAAAATACAAAAATTAGCAGGGCCTGGTGGCGCATGCCTGTAATCCCAGCTACTTAGGAGGCTGAGGCAGGAGAAATTCTTTGAACCCAGAAGGTGGAGGTTGCAGTGAGCTGAGATTGCACCACTGCACTCCAGCCTAGGTGACACAGCAAGACTCTGTCAAAAAAAAAAAAAAAAAGAAATCCAAATAAAATTTCCAGAATATGTGGAAAATGGTGATAATAAAAATATTACACATGTGTAATCCCAGCATTTTGAGATGCCAAGGTGGCAGCATCACTTGAGGCCAGGAGTTCACAACCAGCCTGGACAACATAGGGAGACTCCATCTCCACACACACCAAAAAAAAATTTTAAATAGCCAGGTATAGTGGTACTTCTTGTAATCCCATCTACTTGGGAGGCTAAGGTGGGAGAATCACCCAACCTCAGGAGTTCAGGGCTTCAGCAAGCCATGATCATATCACTGCACTCCAGCCTCAGCAACAGAGCAAGATCTTATCTCAAAAAAAAAAAAAAAAATCACATGTGGGAAATAGCTATAGCACAATAAAAATAAATGTATTAAGTATGAACAACAAAAAAGCTAGTAAAGGTTGAACAACAACTATCCTTAGGAAAGTGGAAATAATGTATTAATAAATATGAAAGAAAGCTAGGCACGGTGACTCACATCTGTAATCCCAGCACTTTGGGAGGCTGAGGCAGGCAGATCACCTGAGGTCAGGAGTTCCAGACCAGCCTGGCCAACATGGTGAAATCTTGTCTCTCCTACAAATACAAAAACTAGCCAGGCTTGGTTGCGCACTCCTGTAATTCCAGCTACTTGGGAGGCTGAGGCAGGAGAATCTCTTGAACCTGGGAGGCAGAGGTTGCAGTGAGCCGAGATCATGCCACTGCACTCCAACTGGGGCAACAGAGTGACACTCCATCTCAAAATAAATAAATAAGAAAGCAGAAACTAATAAATTAGAAAACAGAAACATAGAACTAATTTATAAATCAAAGCACTATGCCTTGAAAAGAGGGAGAAAAATTGTGAATTAAGGAAGGGAAGAGATGGTTGGACAGGAAGTGGGAGAAGGCAGAGATAATTGAAGGAGCAAAAGCATCTGGAGAAGCAAAGCCACTGAAAGATGAACAGGGCTCCGAAAGAAATGCTTGATTGCTATCTTTTCAAATGACTGCAGTTCCCAGTGACATCATTTTTCTCCTCCCTGGAAGTCTGAGGGGCAGTTCACTTATCTCCTCCCCTCCCCTACTCCTCACCCCACACTCAAAACCTGTCTATGCTCCTTTCATTCTCCTATGACAGATTTCAGATGGCATTCTTATTTCCCTGATTTCTTTTTGAGATAGCTTGCATTTCCCTCCTCTATATAAAGCCACCATTTATCAAATGCCTACATGGACCAAGCAGTCCACAAGGGCTTCACAGACAGTTTTACTAAACTCATGTCAAAACTTTCGGGTTTTATACCTACCTTATAGGTAAAGAAATTGAAGCTTATAGAGTTTAAGTAATGTTTCCAAAGCCTCGTGGCTAGTAATTCAAACCTAATTTCTGCCTACTCCAAAGTCTATTTTTCCTCATGATACTATACTGCCTCTCCATGGATAAAGACAGAGATCACATATTAATAAAATTTGCACAAAGTCAGCAAATTGTTGAAAGGGAAGGCTAAGATGATTAATAAGATCAAGAGCCAGATGATCTCAACAACCTGAAATAACTGGCTGACAACCAATTTGAATAACTCCCTGCGGGTGAAGTTCAAAGTACTATTTGGGGTTTTTTTTAAAGTTTGGCTGGGTGCAGAGGCTCACGCCTGTAATCCAAGCACTTAGGGAAGCCAAGGTGGGCGGATCATGAAGTCAGGAGTTGAAGACCAGCCTGGTCAACATGGTGAAACCCCGTCTCTACTAAAAATAAAAAATTAGCCGGGCGTGCTGGTGGATGCCTGTAGTCCCAGCTACTCGGGAGGCTAAGGCAGGAGAATCGCTTGAACCCAGGAGGTGGAGGTTGCAGGGAGCCGAGATCGCACCACTGCACTCCAGCCTGGGCGACAGAGTGAGATTCCGTCTCAAAAAATTAAATAAAATAAAATAAAAAATAAAGGTTTGATATATTCAGAATCAGGGAGGTCTGTTGGGTGCAGTTCATTTGAAAAATTCCTCAGCATTTTAGTGATCTGTATGGTCCCTCTATCTGTCACGGTCCTAGCAGGAAATTGTTCCACTCTCAAAGGATTAAGCAGAAAGAGTTTAATGAAAGGTCTCTTTCCAGGGTTAAGGGAACTGCTAGGGTTTGGATATTTGACCACTCCAAACTCATGTTGAAATGTGATCCCCATTGTTGGAGGGGGGGCCTAATGGGAGGTGTTTTGGTCCTGAGTGTGGACCTCTCACGAATGTCTTGGTGCCATCCAAGTGAGTTCTTGCTCGCTCTCTTTTTTTTCTTTTAGAGATGTAGTTTCACTCTTGCTGCCCAGGTTGGAGTGTAGTGGTGCGATCTTGGCTCACTGCAACTTCCACCTCACGGGTTCAACCCATTCTCCTGTGTCAGCCTCCAGAGTAGCTGGGATTACAGGTGCCCAACACTATGCCCAGCTAATTTTTGGTATTTTTAGTAGAGACGGGGTTTCAGCATGTTGGCCAGGCTGGTCTCAAACTCCTGACCTCAGATGATCCGCCTGCCTCGGCCTCCCAAAGTGCTGGGATTACAGGCGTGAGCCACCGTGCCCACCTAGTTCTAGCTCTCTTAATTCCCACAAGAGCTGGTTGTTAACAAGAGCCTGGCACAAACCCCTCTCTCTCGCCACATGATCTCTGCACATGCCAGCTTCCCTTCCCCTTCTGCCATGAGTGGAAACAGCCTAAAGCCCTCACCAGAAGCAAATGGTGGCACCATGCTTCTTGCACACCTTCAGAACTGTGAACCAAATAAACCTCTCTTCTTTAAAATTACTCAGCCTCTGGTATTCCTTTATAACAACACACACACACACACACACACACATGCGCGCGCGCGCAAAAGCAGACTAAAACAGGAACTAATTAGAAATGGTGACGCACCGAGGGATTGGCACCGAGGCTCCCCAACAGGAACTGAGGCCATGGATAGAAGGACACATTCATGTTATTTTTTTCTAATGGTTAAGTAATTATTTGCTCTTACTCTCAAAATTTCTGCCAAGGCCTCCCATGGACCAAACTCAACTAGAATCTAGGAAGCAGAGAACCTGAGTGTTGCATTCAGCAGAAGTCAGCTTCCTAGGGAATCTTGCAGGAAGGGTGAAGGTAGAGAATCTGGTGGGGAAGCAAGCAAATGCCCATCACATGCACTTTCCTCCAACAGAGCGACTCAGATGCTATAAAACTTGCTAACTCAATCTCAGTGTCTGATGACAGTAACATACAATCCAGGTTTTAATCATCAGAAATCACAGTCCTATTGTCTTCTGCACAGACCCAAACACACTTGGAGGTCATGTTCAATATGAATACCTCACAGAGAAGGAAATTTACACACGAGAAGTACATCTGCAGAAAGCCAGCTGGCATGTCAACCATTCAAAAACTCAGCGTGTTCGGGATAAAGAAGACTCAGGAAGACAAGTATGAAGCATAATCTGTGACATTCCATGCGGCAGACATTAGACACATACAAGAGAGTTGTTGGAAAGCGGAATTTATCTTCATATAAACAACACTGAGCTAAATCTCAATATTTCAGATCTCTAGAACTATCCATCAGTGAAATGGATTGCAAATAGAAAGAGTAATACCATGTCACTTAAGAATACAATCATGGACGAGGCTGCCACCTGCTGTTGGGGGCCACTGCAGAAGAAATTCCAGAACACTGGACTGGAGAGCACCTCACTTTCCTTACAGCTCTAAGTTTCTGACTCAGTGACCTGATTCAGTACCATATACACAAAGACCCACTTACACAAATGACTGTTCTTCACACTAGGCCCATGGAGACAGGGATAAAATTCTGACTTTGTTCAGATACCTTCTCCGCTACTGACATCTAGGCATTACACAATTCATCTCTTCATACTTAACCTTTGAAGTTTGCTACTTCTCAGAGAGACTAATGAGTAGTGAGCAAACATCCTGAAGCTGAGAATGCTTCTACCTCCTCTCAAAACAACAGAATATTCATCAAAACACAGCAGTTCTGCACTTAACTTTAGGCCTTTTCTAACACCTCGTTTCTTGGCAGTAACTGTGGCCAGAATAGCTCTTTCCACAGAGAAAGGACCTTTTGAAAGGATAGGGTCTCTAGATAGAAAAGCAAATGCCTCATTCCAGAAGGTCTTCAAGAAGAAAATGTTGTGGTGATAACTAACTGATTATAATCTATTCTGTGAAAAAAGCTTATGAAAGAGTAGATGTGTGTATCTAGTACATAAGAGCTGAAGGTCAATATATATATATAGATATATACACACACTCAAATAAATAATAGTTATCTCTAACTAGAGAAATTCTAGTTGCCTTATATTTTCTTCTTTTCCTTACTATATTTTCTACAATAAACATGTGTTTTTAACAAGAAAAGTCTTTTCTGGTGTGCTTTTTAATTTTCTTTGTTTAAGTGAGAGTGAGGCTACATAACTACATGGCTAGGTAGACTTTTAGAAAACTTGGCTGCTCTAGAAAATTGACATATCCTGATTTCTTCCATAGCTTGGATCTTGACCTGGAGGGAAATATAAAAATGTTGACTTGAACCTGAGGGGTGCCATTTTCACTGCTGAAGTAGTTTCATGGATCATGAATTGGAGAAATGACTTCAGCAACACGGGTGTTAAAAACAGAAAGCACAAGTGACCTACAACAGATGATGGAGAACAAAGAGCAAGCTGGGAGAAGCAGTGGCCTTTAATACAGAAAAGAAGAAGTATAGCCACAATAAATATTAGGCAGACAGCAGTTCAGCAGTTTATACTATTAAGCTGTTGTTTAGGGGAATGGTAAACCGACATGACCCTTGAGGTAGGTATATATAGGTAAATTCTATGTGTCCCTTGAAATAGGTGTATGACACAACTTCTGGCGTCTACATGGATTTGGTCACTCTAAAGTAGCCATGAGGCTTAAGATAGTTCAGCTGTTTGGGGATAAGCGAAATAATTTGCAGTTGTCTTTCTGCAATTTGCGTATCCTACAGTTATCTTGTCATTACTGAATGGCACAGAGAAAAATTCTGGTCTGAAGTGGTTCTCAAACCTGGTTGCTGGAGGGCCACCCTCAGTGATGATGATTTAATCTGTAGAAGAGTAGAACATTGATAGTTTTTATATATCTCCAGGTAATTTTAATGTATAACTGGGGTGAGAATCATTGACCTAATTGTAAGAGGATAATATTCAAGAAATGTGGAGATAAATAATTTTCTTCTTGACATTAAAAAAATCTAATAAAAAGTTTTATCTTTTCCCCTAACTCAGTGTCATCAGCCTTCAAGCTTCAGTCTCTGTGTGTTCACAGGTGCTGCAAACACACGCATCACTACTAATATCCCACTTCAGTGCTATTGCTGCTCCCAAAACTCCAGGTATTTTTAACCTTATAAACCTCCAGAATAATGAGACCACTGGGTTCAGTAAATTGCTTTGTTTTGAAGCAGTGTTAGACAAAGTGGGAGACTAGAAGATAAATCTGTCAATGACATGTCCTTTAAGACTACTTAGATTTTGTTGAATTTGTGGATCATTCCTTACTTGAGCAAATGGTAAATTAACTTTCTCTTTTCTCTCTCTCTCTAGCTGGCACACTTTTTCCAGTAGCCATTCTACTTGGTATGCTTACTTATCAGCTGTCCTCCAGGGGCCTCACATTAGATGTTTCTCTTGACTAACCAAACATGACACACAGCTGAAGTCAGAAAAACCAGATTGATAATTTCACTCAAACTATTTTCCTTCATTCTAACAATTTACTGGAATACACAATTGTGACTATTTTTAGCCATAGGAACTCATAGAAAGACCAACTTCATTAGACCTACAAAATCGAATTGTGTAACAGTATATGCAGTATGTGTAGGAATAAAAAGCATTTCTCAAATATGCAGTACTGGATTTTGCAAAAGCACCTTACACTTTGCTATAAAGGAGTGGAAAACACAAAGATGAGTAACTGCACCTTTCAAAAGACTAGAGCTATACCAGTAATACAAAGGTGGAAACAAATAATGATGAGATGACAAAGGCTGAGTGTTTTCTATTTGGAAGCTATGTTGTTGAATTATTTATGTATATAATTTCATGCAATCTTCATGTTATGGGGGTGTTCTAATCCACTGTGACTCTGTCCTTAAATAAAAGGGAGATTTGGGCATAGAGACAGGCACACAGGGAGGATGCCATATGAGAATTGACACTGTGCTGTCACAAGCCAAGGAACTACTGGAAGGAGAGAAAGAGGACTGGAACAGTTCCTTCCTTAGCACCTTTTCAGGCAGCCTAGCCCTGCCAGCTTCTTGATCTGGACTTCTCACCTCTAGAATTGTGAGGCAATAAATTTCTGTTGCTTAAGTTACCCAGTTTGTGGTACTTTATTACAGGAGCCCTAGGAAAATAATTCATTATATAATCCGCTAAGGTAGATATGATCATTGTCTCCAATTTCCATATGAAGAAACTATGCCTCAGGCATTGTGTCAGTTGTCCAAAATCATACATTCCTGACTCACTTCAATGAATTTTTCATTCAGCAAAATTTTTAAGGTACCTTAAAAAATTATGTTAACTCTTAGGTCCTTGCTTTAAAGCTTCAATGGGCTTTTCCTTTGCAAAGAATAAAATCCTAATACTTAAGCATAGCTCTCTTTCCTGGCTATGTTTCTGACATCCTCTTGTACCATGCTCCTCCTTAATCATTCTGAGGTTACATCTTAAGTCTTTTCCCCTTGCCATTCCCACTTCTTGGAATACTTTCCCGTCAACTCTTCAAAGAACTGGCTTCTTTAAGTATTTGGTCTCAGTTCAAATGTCACTTCCCTGTAAAAGCTTCCTGGCCATCAAGCCTTCTTTACACACTCTATTTTATTTTTTCATGGTTCCTACAACAACCTAATATATTCTCAATTGATTAACTGTTTTGCTGACTACTGCCTTCCACAAGAATGGAAAGAAAATGTGGCCAGGTGCAGCGGCTCACACCTGTAATCCCACCACTTCAGGAGGCTGAGGCAACATGGCAAAACCTTCTCTTCAAAAAATTTTTTAAAAGTTAGCTGGATGTTGTGGAGGCAAGAGGATCACTTGAGGGTCACTTGAGTCCATGAGGTCAAGGCTGCAGCGAGTCATGTTTGCACCACTGCACTCTAGCCTAGGTGACAGAGCTAGTCCCTATCAAAAAAAAAAAAAAAAAAAAAGAATGGAGAGAATGCTACATGAGAGAAAGGATCTTATTTATCATGTTCACCTCCCAAGAGGTGAACATATCCCCCAAATCCTGATAGAGAGAAGATGCTCATTAATATTTAATGCATGACCATGTGCAGACTTGGGAGGAAAAATATGCCTCAGCCTATCAAAATTGGATCCTTAATAAACAAGGATGCTTCTCCATCATTTCCCCACAACACCAAACAAGTGTGGCTCACTGTGGATGTTTAAGCAAATGCATTGTTTTTCCAGTTATATATCTGGTAGAGATGAGGTCATTGATAGGAATGGGAAGACGATCTCCTTTTCTTGTGATGACCCAGCATGGCTGAACACTCAGTGACTACCACTGCACTTTGTTGTACTTTCAGCATTAGAGATGCCAGCCCTGTAGGATATAAAACAGGAACATCTAGTCCTCAATTATATTCCCACTTTAGATACTGACAGCAAAGGGTTTGTCACAATGACAACTATACACTCCCAATATCACAGAAGAAGGAGGAATAAAAGGGTATATTATGAGTGACTGAAGTTTAGAATAAATCAATAAATATTATGTCCCTCATCCATAGAAACCACAAAGGTCTAGTAATGCTAAGGATATAACAAGAAAATAATATGAATATTTGCTTCCCCTTCCTAGTGTAATAGAGTAAGTTACAAATGGCTTCAGGAAGGGGAGAGAGGAAGAAGAGTGGATGAGATACGTAAGAGTGCCTGAGGGCTAATTTTATGAAAGCTTTGGGAAGTTTTAAGAAAAAGAAAAGCTATTTTTCAAGGTACATGCGTGTACGCATGCGTGTGTGTGTGTGTGTGTGTGTGTGTGTGTGTGTGTGAAAGACAGAAGAAAGAGGGAGACCTAGGAAGACTATGAGACACTAAGAGAAAAATTAAGGTAAAAAAGACGCACACTTAGAAAAACACACATAGGGAGGAGGGAGGAGGTTAAGACATTTTACTATGTGCTGTGAATGGAAACTACAAACCATTTCTGATATATGCAATATATATACATATATACACACATATACATATGTATTTAAAGATTTAAATTACATTTTCTCTTTTTTTAGAGATGTGGTTTCACTATGTCACTCTGCCCAGGCTGCAGTACAGTGGTTGTTCACAGTCATGATCATAGCACATTATAGTCTTGAACTCCTGGGCTCAAGCAATCCTCCTGTATTAGTCTCCCCAGTAGTTGGGATTACTAGCATATGCCACCATGTCCACCCTTATGCTTTTTAAAGTGAAAAACCATACTAAGAATGAGGCAGCTCAACTTAGTAATAAAAACATTTCGAATGTAAAGAAATTTACAAAAGAAAAACAATCAACCCCATTAAAATTGGGCAAAGGGAATGAACAGACAGTTTTCAAAAGAATACATGCATGCAGCCAACAAACATACAAAAAAAAAGTTCAACATCACTGATCATTAGAGAAATGCAAATCAAAACCATAATGAGATACCATCTCACACCAGTCAGAATAGCTATCATTAAAAAGTCAAAAAATAACAGATGCTAGTGAGGCTATGGAGAAAAGGGAATGCTTATACACTGTTGGTGGGTGTGCAAATCAGTTCAATCATTGTGCAAAGAATAGTGATTCCTCAAAGAGCTAAAAGCAGAGCTACCATTCGACCCAGTAATCCCACTACTGGGTATATACCCAGATGAATATAAACCATTCTACCATAAAGACACATGCATACAAATGTTCATTGCAGCACTGTTCACAATAGCAAAAGTATAGGATCAACCTAAGTGCCCATCAATGACAGATTGGATAAAGAGAATGTGGTACATATACACCATGGAATACTATGCCGCCACTAAAAAATGATATCATGTCTTTTGCTGGAATATGGATGGACCTTCTATTATCCTTAGCAAACTAATGCAGGAACAGAAAACCAAATACAGCATACTCTCAGTTATAAGTGGGAGCTAAATGATGAGAACTCATGAACACAAAGAATAAAACAGACACTGGGGTCTACTTGAGGGTGGAGGGTGAGAAAAGGAAGAGAAGCAGAAAAGATAACTATTGGGTACTAGGTTTAATACCTGGGTGATGAAATAATCTGTACAATAACCCCCTGTGACACCAGTTTACCTATGTAACAAATGCCCCTAAACTTAAAATAAAAGTTAAAAAAAAAAAGAAAATTAAAATCTCCTTATCCTCTACCTGGTAATATGAAAAACACATATCTTTCATTCATTCCTTTCAACTGATGAGGAAACTGAGGCAACGGGAGTTAGTAAAAGTCCACATTGAGATATGAGACCCACCACTGGCTGGACGCAGTGGCTCACACCTGTAATCCCAGCACTTTGGGAGGCCGATGCTGGTGGATCACCTAAGGTCAGGAGTTCGGGACCAGGCTGGCCAACATGGTGAAACCCCCATCTCTACTAAAAATACAAAAATTAGCTGGGTGTGGTGGCAGGCACCTGTAATACCAGCTACTAGGGAGGCTGAGGCAGGAGAATCGCTTGAACCCAGGAGGTGGAGTTCACAGTGAGCCAAAATCACGCCATTGCACTCCAGCCTGGGCAACAAGAGCAAGACTCTGTCGGGGAAAACAAAACAAAACAACAACAACAAAAAAAACACCACCATCATTTTGCAAGTGTTACCACTATTGTGTGTTAATATTGTAGAAGTATTCCTAATTATGATTTCTTTGTATTCCTAATTGTAATAGCTTTGTATTTGAAAAATTATTGATTCATACTCTATATGTTATTATTTTGTATGTGATGACAACAGAATATATTATCATGCTCCTTTTGTGAATCTCATTCATAATATAAAGTATAAATTTGTGATTTTGCTTTAATTTGAAATATTAATTTCAAATATGTTATCACAATTTGATACAAACTATTGACAGTAAATCTGTGGATTAAGTAATGTCTTAGTAGGTATTGGGAAAATTTGAAACTAGTAACATGGAGGACTATTGTCATTGTTTATTTCAAAGCCAGTTAAAATTCTGCAAAGCAGTGTAAATAAAAATAATTTCAAGAAATTTATAAAATACTGAGATTATGGTGTATAAACAACTTTAGATTCTTTGTTTAAGAAATTCTGCCAGTTTGTAATACATGCTTCATTCAAAGTAGCTAAGGGCTGTACCTGGCTAATAGTAGGCACGTAATATTTGTTGAAAAGGAATACTGAGTAGCTGGGACCTCCTGAGTAGCTGGGACCACACACATTTAACCTGTATTTATAAAATTACTGTTTAGAGAATAACATTTGATGGAATCATGCTTTTACTTTCTGCTTATGACTCAATTGTTTGTACTGACATTAACATCCCAAATCCTTAGCATGGCCTACAAGGCCCTGAGCAATGTGGCACCTGCTGAAGCCTGCTGCCTCATTTAATAACTCTTTGTCTCTTTCCCAGATCCAGCCACTCTAACATTTTTTAGTTCCTGGACCAAGACAAGCTCTTCCCAGAACCTGACCTTTGTACCTGTTCTTTATTCCTGGAGTATTTTTCCCCTGACAAATTACTTATCATCTATCATAAATCAGGTTAAATGGCACTAACTCAGGGAAGGCTTCCCTAACTGCCTCCCTTCTCCAACCAAATTAGGAACAATTATATGGCCACATAGTATCGAATCAAGTTTATAATTTTAAAATAATTGGGAGATTTTGTTGTTTAACACTTGTTTTCACTATAAGACTGTAATTACATGCAAGTAAGAACCATGCCTGTTTGTTCACTCCTGCCACAGTCAGAATAGTGCCTGGAATATGCAGTAAGGGCTGAACAAACACTAAATAAATGAACAAGTGAATAAATGGATATTGTCTCGTTTTTAGAACAGAGTACTAAATGGATCATGAACACTATCTGGTATGTCACGTAGGTAATTTACAAGGGCTACAATTTCAGCTCAGATTTACCTTTTCCTGGATACAGGTCTTGATAGGTCTCTTGATGTCATTTCACTTCAGATTCTTCTTTAGAAAACTTGGACAATAGCATTTGCTGTCTTGTCCAAATTGTTACTAAGAATCAAGAGAGATATCTGACATGAAATGACATTGGAAAACATTAAACACGATTGAAATAATGCTAGCCAATATGGTTATTATTAGAAACCAATTACATTTTCAACTTAAAAATAGTAATACTTATTGCAGACTCAAATGTGCTTATTCTAAAACAAGTAAATGTTTGCCTATGGTCTGAGATTCTAATCCACGGAGTTCATTCTAATCCACATTCAACACTATCATGTACCAGTGGGCCTCATGACCCACCTAGCCCTGTGATTTTTCAGGTTCACTTTTCTAAACTTGTGAATTAAATACTTATTTTCTTAGTTCAGAAGAGGAAAAAAACTCTTGTAATTGTTGCCCATTTCAGGAGAAATCTTGCATATGAAAACAAGAGATAAATATACACAACCGACGGCTGTGGTTTAAACAAAATCTTGAGAATGTTTTTTGACCTTATACATTTGTGCTTTAGTATAACAAAATGATATAAACAAAGGTAACTTTTAATAGAACCAGTCACTAAATTAAAAAAATGACAAATTCTTCTGCTTAGCTAAGCAACAGAGAAGGTAAAATACTAATTCAATTCATCAATTTAAGCAATACTCATTAAGAGCCAAGTATGTGCTTACTGAATAAGCTGCTAAGGTTTGGTGGTTACAGAGTGTGCGGTGAAATGATGTCTACATCACAGTCCAACATTCACAGAGTTTAAAAGCCTACCAAGAATCAAGACAGACACAAATACCTAACATAGACGTTTGTATGTGATAAGAGAGCCAGAGTACAATTTAGGAGAAGAAAATTTTATGGAAGGAAGCTTCATTTCCATTAGACCAGAAAAGACAGCACATTTGAAGGCCTGAATAAGAAATATTCTGGATAAGATATTGTGGCTGCTACCAGAATGGCTCTTGATGATCTCTACCTCTTGGTATTTATACCCTTATATAATCTCTTTCCTATAGTATAAGCTGGTCCCAGGTATTTGTTTCTATTGAATAGAATAGAACAAAAGTAATGAGATGCCACTTCTGAGATTAGATTATAAGATACTGTGAATTTCATCTTGTGCCCTCTCCCTCTCTTTCTCTTGCCCTCTCATTTGAATGAAGCCAACTGGCATGCTGTCAGTGGCCCAGTGTAAGTCCTGTTACAAGAAATTGATGATTACCTGTAGCCAACCCTAAGTGAAGAACTGAGGTCCTCAGTCCTACAAATGGAGAGAAATTGAATCTAGCTAAGAACCATGTGAGTGAGCTGGGAAGAAGATCCACCCTCAGTTGAAATTTAAGATGACATATTGAGCAGACATACTGAGACACACTGAAAGTAAGAGAGCAGGAGGAAACAAAACCAGGGTCATACAAAGAACACAACTGATTTTGAGATTCTCACATAAGTATTACACCTTCAGTGAGCACGTGTACTAGAAATTAAAAAAATAAATTAAATAAACCTTCAAAAAGAGCTAGCAAATAAATTTCCCTATGGTCTCAGCTCTGAGTGGAGAGAGAAAATGTTCCCTGTGGAGTTTATAGCCAGAATCCAGCTCTCAAACAGGTTTCAGCCTGAACTCACACAATCTGTGTGGCTTCCAAATTTGCAAGCTGAGAATTTAATTCAAAGTGGTCTCAGGTTGATAGCAGTCCAAAATGCTAGGTAGGAAAAAAAATCCTCTCTGGACAAATAAATCATCAAAGCAAGCTCATAAGAGCAGGTTTCAAAGGTCATGAGCTTCTAACACACACACAAAAATCACACACACAAAATGGGGGTAGCAGCAACATGGGTAGCATATTCAAACTTGAAAAGACTTTAAATATTTGTATTATTAGATGTAGATTATGAAACACATATTTTAATGTGGTTAATTTTTTTAAGGAATCAAAACTATGAGTAAAGACCAAGAAAATTGTGCTGGATGGCCACTTCCACCATGGCTCCCCTCCTATTTAAGTTTGGGTACTGTGTCACCCGAAGTCTTCAGGCACATTGTTCCAGGTTTGGGTTTGCCTATGAAAGAAACTCATGAGAGCTGGAAGTGAGGAGTGAAGAGGAGGTCTTCACATAAAGCAGGCTTAAGGATTAGACATAGCAGGTTTGACAGATGTGATGGCTCGCAGAATTCTTTATGAGCTCCCACTGTCCATCTGGATAAGATTTACAGACCTTTCAGAAATTCCTATAAGCTTGGGTTCTGTGCCCACACTCTAGACTGTCAGGCTAAGATCTCTGATATAAAACAGACCTCTTCTGATTTTGTCTAGCTGCTTTTCTAATATCTATTCACCAAGCTCTTCCAATAATAGCATAAGGCCCTAACTAATATTAAACTTTTATCATTATAATACATAGGATGTCTTCTGTTTTCCTGATCAAATTCTGACTACTATTAAAATATAAAGAATTGTCCAGAAATATATAAAAAAAAGAATCACACATTGATCTTCTTTAAATGAAAATATAACAATTGTATGGACTAGGATGATTACAGTTGTTCAGTTCTGACTGTTATTTGAAGAAAAAAGCAATAAGAAGCCTCAGCAACTTAACAGAAGGAGCTGCCATTTACTAGGAGAAAAGATTGTGGATGAGAGTGTAGCAAAGGTCAGAATTCTGTGAAGCTTGAGATGTCTATTATAATGAATTATCTTTTATACTCACTACAATTTCCTAACAATTTTGGGGTTTATATTTTTGAAAGAGATATACCTTTAATTTTCTTTCTTTGTACTATTGTTAGGTAACTTTAATGTGCAGATTATACTACAGTGAAAGTTGCCAATGACAAGGCAAAGTCACTTACATCAGACCCAAAGCAAAGTGGAGCCGGGTCGTGAAAAAGGGGATCTTGTGTGTGTGTCCACGATAAGCACTATCACAAGGACTTTCTATAAACTCACAAGAAATTTCTGCCCACCCAGCACACTCTGTTTGTCCAGCTCATCCTGTAGGTGTCTCTATAATAGGACCTATCATAAAAAATTCCTCAAGACTGCAGCATTTCAGATAAGCCACCCTCACAAGAACACTGGCCTAGCAATGGCTGTTTCTGCCAGTAAGTTAACACCAGCTCCTGCATCAGGCCCTGTGACCAATGATGTTTGTTTCAAAACAGCTTGCATAGACTTCTTTTTGTCTTTAAATATTTTCCTTACCTCAACCTCTTGGGATGCACCTATGATTCATCATAGCACAAATATCTCAGATTATAATCCTTGTTTATTTCTAAATAAATTTATTTCTTTGGAGATCCACTTTTTTGTTATTATACATTGACATTGTTATCATGAAATTGGTTGGGTGATGTGTCTTATTTTCTTGTCTCCAGAAGAATTTCTGTAACAGTGCAATTAAACATTCTTTGCCTGTTTGCTAGAACTCACCTGTAAAATTGTCTGAGCAACCAAAGCCTGGTTTTTGTGTTTAGTTTTTCTTTTGTGATTGGGGAGGGGGGTTTATCGTACTGATTCAAGGTGTGAAGGTAACATCATTTTGATTTTATACATCTTCTTCAGTCCATTTAAGCATGTTACATAGCGTTGTTTGTTCTTTTCATGATATTCTTTACAGTAGTCTCCTAAATGTTCCCTCTGCTTCTGCCATGAGCCCCTACAATCTATTTCAACTCAGAAGCTATAGAGTTTGTTTAAAACATGTAACATATTATGCCACCTTTCTTACTGTAAAACATCCATGGTTTCTCGTAGTATTTATAGTAAAAGTGAAATTTTTATGATGGCTTGAGAAACTTTTCCCATTTAGATGCCCAAGTGCTGGTCTGGTCTGATCTTCTCATCTTCCCTTGGGTGATTCTGTGGCAGTCACACTAGCCTCCTTGCTGCTCCACAAAAACTCCAGCATGATCCTACTTCAGGATATTTTCCATTGTTACTGCATCTGCCTGGAACCTTTTCTCCCATATAAACATAGAGATTGCTCTTGCCTGTCCTTCAAGTCTATTCTTAAATGTCCCATTCTCTGTGAAGCTTTCCTGCCCACCCTATTTAACTTACAGACTTCACTCCCAATTCCCCATCTACTTTAAGAGTCTTCATTTATCATTCCTTGACAAACTGTAAATATACATGTTCACTTTTTTATCGTCTGTCTCCAAATACTGGAATGTTAAGTTCTGTAATGTCAGATATTTCTGTTTGGTTCACTGGCGTATTCTTAAAGCATGTTACATACTAGGTATACTCAATGAATATTTGTTGAATAAATATCACATTGGGCTTATTCCAGAAATTCAAGCTTGTTTCAATAGTTAGAGCAATCTACAAATGTAATTCATTACATTAACTAAAGGAGCTAAATCACATCACCACCACAATAACGCAGAAAAACACATTTGATACAACTCAATATTCATGTCTGCCTAACAAACATCTCATGATACTAGGAAAAGAGGAAGGGATATATTATTTTCATGTATAAAACACTAACCATTGTAGCATGCCAATATACTCAAAAATCAATGAAATTCCTATCAAAATCTTAGCATTCCTCTTAGTCCTCAACAAAGCATTTCTAAAATGTGTACAGAAGACCAAAGGGCCAAAAGAGTCAACTTCTGAAGAAGTGGAAAAAGAAAGTTGAGGAAATCTTAAAACATGTTATTGAGCTTAAAGTTGCAAAAATAAACTCATGTACCATAATTCATGAGTAGAAAAATAGACTAGTGGAATAACATAAAAATAAAAACAATGCTTACATAAAATGTTGTACCTGATTTGGATGTCATTAGAAATCAGTAAGTAAATAGATGGACAATGTAATGAAAGATGCTAGGCAAATAATGTGGTAGGGAGAATAATGGCCCTCAAAGATGCCCATGCCTAACCCTGGAACCTGTGAATATGTTACACTGAATGCAATAAAGGCTCATCAGATGTGATTAAGGATGCAAACCGAGATGGAGAGATCTTCCTGGGTTATCCAGATGGGCCCAGTCTAATCACATGAATTCTTAAAAATGGAGAACCTTTCTTAGCTGAGTCCAGAGAGAGATGTGACAATGAAAGAATGGTCAGAGAAATGTGACATTGCCAGCTTTAAAAAGAGAGAGGAGAGGCAATGAGAAAAGGAATGCTGATGTTCTCTAGAAGATAGAAAAGGCCAGGATATGGATTCTACCCTAGCCGCCATAAAGAAACATGCCTGTCGACAACTTGATTTTAGTTCACTAAAATTCATGCCTGATTTCTGACTTGTGTACACTGTAAGATGACAAGTTTGTGTTATTTTAGGTCACTTAGTTTGTAGAAATTTGTTACAGCAGTAATAGAACAAGCGGTTATCCATATGAGGCAAATTAGATTGGATACCTATCTCCAATAGAAATCAATTCAAGGTGAATTCCAGGAAAATACTTAAAACATTTAGATTAAAAATAAATGAGAATTTTTGTTACTTTTGGTAGGTCATAGAACCAAGAAAAACAAACATTAAGGAGTAAAAATGAACATATGACTACATCAAAATATAAAGCTTCTCTATTTGGATGATATCATAAGGTGACAAATCATAAACTGTAATATTTGCAACATATATATGAGTGAATAAATATACACTTAGAATATATATGAACCCCCAAAAATCAACAGGAAAAATAACACATAGAACAAGCAAAATGCATAAACAAAAGAAGGCAAAACAAAAATAATGACTCATAATTATATGAAAAGAAGCTCATCTTCATAGATGAGCAGATAAATGCAAATTAAAACCACCCTGAGATGCTTTTTACATCCATGAGCCTGATAAAAGTTAGAGTCTAAAAGTAATAATTAACAAAGATGGGAAGTAACAGAAAATCTTGTCCATTACTGGTTAAAGTATAAACTGATACAGCTACTTTATAGAATATTACATTATAGAATAAAGTTGTGAGTATGTATATGCAGTGACTCAGCATCTTCATTGCTAGTATGTACTCAAGAGAAACTTACAGGAGTGGACTAGGAAGTAAATACAAAATGATTACAACATTGTTTGTTATATCAAAAAATAAAAAAGACACCCAATTTTCCAGCAAAAAAAATAAGTAAAAATAAATCCTGGTGTATTCTAACAATGGAATAATATATAGCAATTAAAATAAATCAACTATTACTGTACATATGAATGTAAGTATCAGCAAAACATATTGTTTAGTGAAAAAGAAGCTGAAGAAGAATATATACAATATGGTTACGTTTATATGAAGTCCAAAAACTTGCAAAATAAAGAAATGTATTTAGAAATAGATTCACATGTGAGAAAACTAGAAGAAAATTAATGAAAGGATAAAAGGGATAGCAGTAATTCTGAGTAGTTGAGGGGATTTCAATTGGAAAAAAATAGTATCATATTCTTTAAGTCAGGTAGTGGGTATTAGCATTTGTTTTACCATCGTTCTTTATTCTTATAGCTACACTATATATTTTCAATGTATTTAATGTATTTTTTGCATAATTAAATATTATGCAATAAAAATGAGAAAACAAAAAAGTAGAAAATGATAAATTACAATAAATGGAGAAAAAATTATAATCTAGTTGAGTAATGGTATATTACATAGCTATTTTCTTAAGTAGATGTATGTACATGATGTATGCACGATTGTACATACATGTTCTTAATTATATATAAATATATATGTACATATTTTTAATATAAAATACTAAACAAAGTACACCAAAATATTAGCTCCTATGTTAGTGAGATAATGTTTTGTTTTTTTGTATTTTAAGTTTTACATAGTAGGTGTATTTGTCTGTTTTCATACTGCTATAAAGAACTGCCCAAGACTGGGTAATTTATAAAGGAAAGAAGTTTAATTGGCTCACAGTTCAGCACAGCTTGGGAGGCCTCAGGAAATCTACAATCATGGCGGAAGACAAAGAGAAGCAAGCCAGCTTCTTCGCAAGGCAGCATGAAGAAGTGCCGAGCAAAGGGGAAAGAATCCCTTATAAAACCATCAAATCTCGTGAGAACTCACTATCACAAGAACAGCACAGGGGAAACTGCCCCCATGATTCAATTACCTCCACCTGGTCTCTCCCTTGACCTGTGGGGATTATGGGGGCTATGGGGATTACAATTCAAGATGAGATTCAGGTGGGGATACAAAGCCTAACCATATCAGTAGGCATGTGTTGAATTTTAAACTCAGAGAAAAATACTAGTGTTTTTATAGGATTCTTACTAAAGAAAAACCAGAAAGTAATAAACCATCTACGCTAAGACATAAAATTCAGTTGTTTAGTTACAAGATAGAATGTGGCCTTGTAAGAAGGCAAAATTAACTTCTAACATACAAAGCCTTAGAGAAGATTCAAGTGACTGACGGATCTTAAACAGAGCTATTATTACAACTCAAACTGCAGTAAAATATCCTCAGCAACATAGATGTGTGTGTTTCACTAGTCAGAGCAATACAAATTTAATGCAACTCCATTGGTGGTGTTTTTAATCAGACAATTTCTGAAGATGTCCTGGCTTATTCATAGATGCAAGCCAAATCTCTAGAAGAGTACCATAATAAGAAAAAAAAGAATACAGGCAATTGAGAGCTGTTCCAAAGTTCAGGGAGTTTTTGTAAGGAATTAATAAATAAAAATGTTCTTGAAAGAGAGAAATTAATATGCAGTTCATACTGCCAGAATTGCAGGCAATTTATCAAACTCCCCTAATCCTCCAAAATCGCTACTTTTTTTTGACACACACTTTACAGTACAGAAGAAAATGTCTCTGGCAATAAATCACAAAGTTAAAATTACCTAGTCTACAATTAACTAGACAGTGATGGTAAATCATTTTCTACCAAAAGAAAGAAATGTCTTGTCTATTCAGGTTCTGCTCTACTTAAAAGTCTTCCTTGTTGGCGAGCAAGTGGTTAGAAAATCATATTTTATACGTACATTCAGCTTAACTATCATTCAGCTCAGGAAGATGACTCAGGGCCTTATCCATACCTTCAAGTTTGCTCTTAGCAAGTAATTGTTTCAGTATCTATATCAAAAATGGCTTAAGTCTGCAACATGTTTCTGAATGATTAACAAGGTGATAGTCAGTTCTTCATTGAATCCTGGATGCTTTATTTTTCTTAATAAGAGGAATTCATATGGATCAGCTAGAAAAAAATTAAGAGGAAAATCACATGGAAAGTTATATATTATATATCTATTATATATATAATATTATATATCTATTATATATATAATATTATATATCTATTATATATATAATATTATATATCTATTATATATATATTATATATCTATTATATATTATATATCTATTGTACATATATTATATATCTATTATATAATATTATAGATCTATTATATATATAACATTGTATATCTATTACATATATATTATATCTTATATCTTATATATTATATATCCATTATATATATAATATTATATATTATATATCATTTCCAAATTCCCCAGCGTTCAATATTTGTCAGTGCAAGTAAAGAGCCTTAGTGCTGATGAGGTTTGAGGTATGACCATTTGGCCAGAATTTATGAACTCTACATGTCGCTTGATGTGTGCTTCAGGGTACACTTTTTTTTTTTTTTTTTTGAGACGGAGTCTTGCTCTGTCGCCCAGGCTGGAGTGCAGCGGTGCGATCTCAGCTCACCGCAAGCTCCGTCTCCCGGGTTCACGCCATTCTCCTGCCTGAGCCTCCTGAGTAGCTGGGACTACAGGCGCCCGCCACTATGCCCTGCTAATTTTTTGTATTTTTAGTACAGACGGGGTTTCACCATGTTAGCCAGGATGGTCTCGATCTCCTGACCTCGTGATCCACCCGCCTCGGCCTCCCAAAGTGCTGGAATTACAGGTGTGAGCCACCACGCCCGGCCAGGGTACACTTTTAAGCAGAGACACTACTTTGAAGGTCATAAAAAATATAATAAGAGATAAGGCTAATTTCCTTTAATAATAATAATAAAATCCTTTAATAAAAATATAAAGGAATAATATAATAATTTTCTTTATTAAAATATAATAAGAGATAAGGCTAATTTCCTTTAATAAAATACAGTAACTACATACCAACAGAACTCCAAAAAAAGAAATGGAGAGGAAGGGAGCATGGGTCATTAATCTTGTCAAAAATATAAAATTATATACGAGGAATTCCTAGAAACTGTTTTCCTTGTCTGCGGCCATTGTGCTGCTGCTACACAACTACCGCAAGCAGCCCTTCACGCCCTCCTCCCAGTACAAAGCTAATTGACTTGTGAGAAATGTTAAGCTTGGAAGAGTCAGCATCGCTGCACTTATTTTTTATTCTACTCTGACATTAGAATAATCCTTGAGTGGGGGAAAGGTTAAAAACCCCCCTGGATAAGTGTTACTAATTAATGATGATTGTTTTAAACAATGTTTGGATAATTTTTCCTTGTCCCTTGACATAAACTTGATAAATAACTGAGAAGTGAGAAGGAGATTAGTGGGTTGATTAAATTCCATTCAGGTACTTAAAGTTAGCTCCAAAAATTTAGCTATTTATAAATTGTCATGCATTGTTAATGTATAAGAGATGTAGATTTCATTTATCTTTGGTGGAGCGAGATGAAGCAGTGAATCATTGAGGACTGAAAGAAAGAAAAAGGTCTTTTCCCTTTTCTTTAAGAAGCATCATTAGTTAAAAACATGTTAGTTGATACCAGAGAACTATATTTAAAGGGACAGCAATAAGCAAATTGATTACTCTGGCGATTATTGGAGTGACATTGCCTTTTAGTTGTACTTTCACAAAAATTCACAATATTTGCCAAAGTCAAGTTATCCATTACACTATTAATTTGTCATTCTTTTGTTTATATAGTCAATATCTCTTATCTCAATTGGATCTATCTCAACTGCTTCTAAACAAGCCACCATAGTCTCTCCCATTTCAACAATCTCTTCCAAGTACCATTTCATTTCTTCTTTTCATATTTTTGAAAACTTTTGAAAAACTACCTATTTTCCTCCTCCATTTCTTGTTCATTCCATTCTAGTGGACATGGAATCTGTTCCTCCTCCAAAACGGAATTTTGTAACCCTTAAATTACTAAACCCAAAACAATACGTTGTTTTTATCTTTACCTCTCTGTGGCATTTAATGATAAGACCACTACTTTCTTCTCTTTTACCCTTCTTTCTTGAATTCAGTCAAACAACGTACTTACATTTTTCGTCTTATTCTCCATCTTAGAAACCACCTCAGCTTTCTCCATTCAGCCATAAAATTGTGCTTTTCCTCAAAGATTAATCTGCCTCTCCTCTCACTCTATACTATCTCTGTTAGCTAATTTTATTTGTGCACATTGCTTATACTGGGCATTATATACACATATGCATGTGTGTACATGTGCACACACACACTGTATGTGGACATGTATATATATATGTGTGTGTGTGTGTATATATATAGTATATATATAAATTACAATAACATAAAGGTGGCATTTTAAATTAGTGGAAATTACCCTGATTTGATCACTACACATTCTATACATGTAAAGAAATATCACTCTGTATCCCAAGAATATGTACAATTATGGTTTGCCAAATGAAAAAGTTCATACATTGAAAAATTTTAGATAAATATCAAACTTTCTCTGAAACTGTAACTGTAAAATGTAAAAAACAGTAATTGCTATATTGCTTATTTCTGAGAATATGAGACATTTCCCTGATCATTATGTGTAATTACAATTACATATATATATGTATGTAATATATAAACATATATATATGTAATTGTAATTACACATAATGATCAGGGAAATGTCTCATATTCTATATATATAGACAGAGAGAAAATATATGAGGGAGAGAAAGAATCTTTCCATCTCCTTTGAGTTCCACGGTGTTGAGAGTCAGGACAACTACAATTGCTTCATCATGCCTGCTTGCAATTATAGGGCTTTTGAACCATTTGTTCCCTCCTTAGATATCCTCATTTTTTTCAGATTCTTGCTTAGAAGTCACTCCTCCGTGGACCTCCTCTGACATATTAAACATTGCAGTCCATTATAAGCTGCAAGAGGACAGGGATTTTTGCCTGTTTTATTCCCTACTGTATCACCAGGGGCTACAGCAATATCTGACAAACAGTGGGCATGTAATGAATATTTGTTAAGTGAAGTAATAAATTCAATCAAATCGCATCACCTGTTTAAAGCACTTCATTGGCTTCACATTGCACTTAGAATAAAGAGAAATTCTTTTTATACAATATAAGTTCCTGCAGAATGCAGACACTTTCTACTTTTCCAGCCTCTTTTCAACTCCTCTCCTACTGGCTTCTGTATTTAAGCCACATTAGACCTTTCTTCAGTTTTTTGTATAGACTTTGTCGCATCACACCTCAGAGGTTCTGTACATGTTCTTCCTCCTGCCTAGAAAGAGTCGTCCCTCCACTTTCGCCAACTAATCCCTGCTCAACTTTTCATCTCAGCAGGAGGCCCATTCTCTTTGGCAATCCTCTGGCCTCCAGCCCATTTATTATATACTCACATGTCAACATGTACTTCGTACAGCATGTAACACAATTGCACTTTTATATTTTAACAAATTATGTTTCCCATATTGAACTGTAAGTCTCCTGAAAGGAGGAATTTTGTTCTTGCTCATCAACTTTTTCAACATCCAGTGCACCATTTAGAACTTAGATGTAGTCAATACAGGTTTGTGGAATGAAAGAGGAAAAGAAAGAATTAATATCCCTTTAAATTAGGATGGCAAAGATTGTATATAGAAAATTGGCTAAGTTGTGGTCCATTCATGTTTGCTCCCAATTAAGGAGCACAGCTATGAAAAGGAAGGCTTCAAATTAATAACCAATAGATTTTTAAAAAAAGAAAACTGGCCAGGTACTGTGGCTTATGTCTGTAATATCAGCATGTTGGGAGGCCAAGGCAGGATTACTTGAGCCCAGAAATTCCAGACCAGCCTGAGAATTTGGCAAAACTCTGTCTCTACAAAAAATACAAAAATTAGCCAAGTTTGGTGGCATGTGCCTGTAGTACCAGCTACTTGGGAGGCTGAGGTGGAAGAATAGCTTGAGTCTGGGAGGTCAAGGCTGCAATGAGCTGTGATCACACCACTGCACTCAAGCCTGGGTGGTAGAGTAAGAACCTGTCTCAAAAAAAAAAAAAAAGAAAAATCAGTAAGCAAAATAAGACAGTGAAGGATCATGTCAAAGGTAAGAAAAATTAGGGGAACATTAAAAGCTTTCTTCCCAAGCCACTAAATCAACTTGACTAACAAAATTACCACTTGATTTAGCATTAGAAAATTACATTACATATCAAACATAAACTCATTAATCAAATACTAAAGAAATTTCTGAGTTAAATGGTATAATGTTAGCTTATGCCAGAGCTGACCCTGAAAGATTGTTCAAATATGGCTCAGTGTGATTGAAAGTTCTGTGTGAATATGTTTTTGGAAAGATCCAACAGCAACACCTTAGTGTATGTTTTTGAAATAAAATGTATCTGAGTAGCAGCAAAGTTATTCTCAAATTTCCATTTTATAGCTGGAGATGTTATACCGTGACATATATGATAGGACCCAATATGGATTAATCCCTTTTGGAAGTCAATCAGGAAGAGGGGAGCAGTTAAAACCGTTGCTTGGTTTACAAACAGTAGAACAATTTTCTTATTCACACCATCTGATTATTGTATTTTATTTTTTCCCCAGCGTTTAGACTACACAATGAGTTAAGAATGACAAAAATAAGCTCACCAATATACTATGTACATACTTACCAAAATCTGTGCATGCTTATACATATAAACACAGCTGATAATTTATTAGTCAGGCTCATTTGTAATTTTTGTCACTATAGACCAGTTTTTTATTTAAATTGAAGATTAGTACACATTTTAAATGATTAGTCAAAATAAAAAATCTAAAATGTGCTCTAAATACCTCTTAGGTCAGAAAAAAAAAGTCAAAAGCTAGAATATAGAGAAATTAAGAAATGCCCTAAATTTCTAATCTGACAAAAATTCATATGAGATTTAAATATTTTAATGGAAAATAGAACAGAACTAATCATTGAAGAAATTATAGAAAGGAAACAAAACAGATTATATGGAGGATTTTTAGAAGATAAGTAAATAAATTAATATACTAGGAAAAAACAAGGGAAATATAATTGATAAATAAATACAGGTAAGAGTTCTTTTGAAATAATAATAAAATAGAAAATCTCTGTCAAAACTAAAAGGAAAGATGCATAAATATATAAATAAATGATAAAACGATGTTGCATACATATATGACTTTTTCAGAATCAAAAAATTTAAATTTCTGTAATAAAATTTAAATGTTTATAAATTTAAAAAACTAGAAGAAAGAATGTTGACTGTTCACAATACAAATAAATGACAAATATTTGAGGTGATGGATATGCTAATTATCCTTATTTGATCATTGGACATTGTATACATGTATCAAAATATCACTCTGTATCCCATGAATATGTACAATTATTTGTCTCAAAAACAAACAAACAAAAGATAATGGGAGAATGTTGAAAACTCAGAGAGAAGAGCAACTCTCACAGATAGGGATCCAGATAACATTAGCAGCTGATTTCTCGGCAGAAACCTTGAAGGCCAGTAGGCAGTCGATTATATATTTAAAATAATGAAGAAACCTGTCAATTGAGAAATCTATAGCTGGAAAACTTATCCTTCAAAAATGAGGGAGAAATTAAGACAATTCCGGATTTTTTTTTAAAACTGAAAAAAAATCCATTTATCCCTGAATTTGCCATTCAAGAAGTGTTAAGTCCTTCAGGTTGAAATAAATGAACTCTAGGCAATAACTATATAAGTAAATAAGCAAGCTGTATGAATATACAAAGCTCTCTGGTAAAGGTAAATACATAAACAAACATAAAAACAGTCCTATTGTAATTTTGGTTTCTAACTCTGCTTTTTATTTTCTACATAATTTAAAAGGCAAATGCATAAAATGTAACTGTAAATCTGTTAGCTGGTATACAATGAATAAAGATATAATTTGTTACATCAATAACATAAAAAGAGTAGAGCTATATGTATAGCAGTAGAATTTTGGTATGTGATTGAACTTGTTGAAATAAATTCAAATTAAAATGTTATAACTCTAGGATGTTATATGTAATTCTCATAGTAACCAAAAACGAAATATACACAGAATATAAACAAAAGGAAATGAGACTAGAAACAAAATGTGTCACTACAAAAAAATCAACTAAAGATAAAAAAGAAATAATTGAGAAAATGGCAAAAATCAGTAACTCTGACGTATTAAAACTTTCCATGCTACATAAATCTGAAAACTCTATTTCACATAAAACTGGAGCTGAAAGAGACAAATATTTACCTATAAAGTTAAAAGTTATATAGGGAACAAACACTAATTTTTTTTAGAAAAAATTATAAAAAGAGTAAAAATATGCCTTATACTACCCCAATTTCATGTTTTACAGCTCTGGGAAAATAGAAAATAAAATGTTCTGTTAGCATGAATCCCTCTGTGCCCCCAAAAAACCCTATGGATTGCATCATTATTACCTAAAAAGTCTATTGTCAAATGCAGCAGAGTGATATTTTTTACAAGGTAGATATTAATTTTAGATATGGAATAATATTGGTGATTTCAATTTTATAACACTGGGTTAAGATGAAAGAATGAGAAGATAAAGGTCCCTCAGCAATATAACTCACAAACATGTTCAGAAGCAGTAAGAAGTTACATTAATTATCTTTTGAAAGTCAATAATCTACATCTTTAATGTATGCATATAGCACAGCTAATGTACTATCGCTGGGTCCATTTATTCAATGAATAATTGCCGCTATGTGTCAGACATTTTTCTAGGCCTAGGAATGGATACATAAGTGAACAAAGCAAAGATTCTGGTTCTTGTAGAGTTTCCATTAAAAGACCATTTAGTAAAACTTTTCTTCCCCCAAATTATAAAATCTGTAAGATGATTTAACAACATGTGTAAAAGTCATTGTGGGCCAGGCACGGTGGCTCATACCAGGTGTGGTGACTCATAGCACTCTGTCACCCAGGCTGGAGTGCAGTGGCACAATCTCTGCTCACTGCAACCTCTGCCTCCTGGGTACAAGCGATTCTCCTGCCTCAGCTTTCTGAGTAGCAAGGACTACAGGTGCACACCATCACGCCTGGCTAATTTTTGTACTATTAGTACAGACGGAGTTTCACCATGTTGGCCAGGCTGGTCTTGAACTCCTGACCTCAAATGATCCGTCTACCTCGGCCTCCCAAAGTGCTGGAATTACAGATGTGAGCCACAATGCCCAGCCTTATTTTCTACAACTTTGGTAACTTTAGCATATACCCCAAATCTGTAAGACATAATATTATAATTCAAATGCAACTCATGGCTTCTCATTGTACTCTTTCTCTAGCTTTTGAATTATTTATTCTAATACCAGTTTTAATTCTGACACAAAAGCATGGGAGTTCTAATCAAAATCCAACCTTTTATCATAAAAACTATGAAGAAATTATGAGTAGAACTTAAAAAGGAAAATAGGCCTATTAATTAGATTTGTCTTTGTAGCATTTAACTCTATAATAAATAACATAATATTTTATGCCTATGAGTACCCAACAAAGCCTCCAGCTTCTATTTAGATATAAAATGTAAAAGTCACTACTGGATCCACAAGCAAGACTATGGTAAAGAAATTTCTCCACCTAACCAGCTTCTTTTACATGATGTTACATGTTTCTTTTGTTTTTTCATTTTGGCAAATATTGATTGTCATCTTCGTGTTTGTCTATGTCCTAAGTGCTGGGATACAGAATCTGAAAAGATGGACACAGGACCTGCCTTCAAGTTCATCCTTTTTTTTTTTTTTTTGAGATGGAGTTTTGCTCTTGTCGCCCAGGCTGGAGTGTAATGGTGAGATCTCGGCTCACTGCAACCACCACCTCCAGGGTTCAAGTGATTCTCCTGCCTCAGCCTCCCAAGTAGCTGGGATTACAGGTCCCAGCCACCACACCTAGCTAATTTTTGTATTTTTAGTAGAGACAGCGTTTCATCATGTTGGTCAGGCTGGTCTCAAACTCCTAACCTCAGGTAGTCGACCCACCTCGGCCTCCCACAGTGCTGAGATTACAGGCATGAGCCACCACGCCCTGCTAGGAGTTCACGCTTTAGTTGGGGAAAATATACAATAAGCAAGCCAATTTTTAAAAAGAGAACTGCAATTAGAGTTAAATGCTACAAAGACAATCTCACAGGAAGATGGGATGTAGAATGATAAGGCTCTCAGAATAGTAAGAGAAACTATTGCTTCTTACGATGTTTGTCTTTCTTTGTATCAGTGCTGAGTCTGCAGTGCTTCAGAGGCAGCTTTCATTTTATAAAAATCTATGATTTCTCCTTCCAGTTGTTTTTTCTCTTCCTCGAGCCTCCTTATCTCCTCCTGTTGAATCATTTTAAGATGCTCGAATTTGTCCTGCAACTGTGAAACCAATGTGCAGTTGTGACACCAAAGCAGTGTGGCTGAACACCCAAAAGAATATGCTTTTTTCTGATTATCAAACAAACCTAAATCATCACAGTAGAGCACGATCTTAATAACAATCTCAAAAACTCAGGAGTAAACACTCAGATATGGAATTTTTCTTTTCTTTCTTTTTTCCTTTTATAAGATGGAGTCTCACTCTGTTGCCCAGGCTGGAGTGCACTGGTGCAATCTCAGCTCACTGCAACCTCCATCTCCCAGTTCAAGTGATTCTCCTGCCTCAGCCTCTTGAGTAGCTGGGACTACAGGCATGCACCACCACTACAGGTGTGTGCCACCACACCTGGCTAATTTTTGTATTTTTAGTAGAGATGGGGTTTTGCCATGTTGGCCAGGCTGGTCTCGAACTCCTGACCTCAGGTGATCCTCCCGCTTTGGCCTCCCAAAGACTTTTTTTTTTTTTTTTTAATATAGAGACAAGTTCTCAGTATGTTGCCCAGGCTGGTCTCAAACTCCTGAGCTCAAGTGATCCTCCCACGTCAGCTTCCCAAAGTGCTGGGACTGACTGGATGCAGTGGCTCATGCTTGTAAACTCAGCACTTTGGGAGGCCAAGGTGGGAGGATCGCTTGAGCCCAGGAGTTCAAGACCAGACTGGGTGATATAACACAATAGTAAACTTCAACAGGAGAGAGAATCTGTAAACTTGAATATAGATCTTCTGAAATTATCCAGTCAGAGAACAAAGAAAAAAAGAATAAAAAAGAGAAAAGAAGGCTGGGCGTGGTGGCTCAAGCCTGTAATCCCAACACTTTGGGAGGCCGAGGCAGGCAGATTAAGAGGTCAGGAGTTCAAGACCAGCCTGGCCAACGTGACAAAACCCCATCTCTACTAAAAATACAAAAATTAGCCGGGTGTGGTGGCACACACCTGTAGTCCCAGCTACTTGGGAGGCTGAGGCAGGAGAATCGCTTGAACCCAGGAGGCGGAGGTTGGAGTGCAATGTGAGCCGAGACCACACATTGCACTCCAGCCTGGGTGACAAAGCACGACTCTGACTCTGTCTCAAAAAAAAAAAAAAAAGAAAAAAAAAGAGACAGAGAAAAGAAAGCCAACAAGACACCATTAGGCAAACCATTGTCAGGTTATGGGAGTTTGAGAAGGAAAGTAGAGAAAGGAGAAGAAAGCTTATTTAAAGAATGGCTGAAAACTGCCTAAATCATGGGAAAGATTTAGACATCTAAATCCATGAAGCTTAAAGATTCCTAAAGAGGTTCAAACCAAATAGATACTCACCAAGTCACAATATAATCAAATAGTCAAAAGTTAAAGAAACTTTGCAGGTCAGGACAGAATCGAATAATACATTCAAAGTGCTGAAAGAAAAAAACTGCCAGCAACTAATACTATGTCTGACAAAGCTGTCCTTCAGAAAGAAAGAAGAAGTAACGTGTTTCCTCGACAAACAAAGCTGAGGGCATTCAGGACCAGTAGGTCTACCTTAAAAAAATGCTTAAGGGAGTTTTTCAAGTAAAAATGAATGAAGTTGGGAGCGGTGGCTCATGCCTGTAATCCCATTTTGGGAGGCCGAGGTGGGTGGATCACCTGAGGTCGGGAGGTCAAGACCAGCCTGGCCAACATGGCAAAACCCCACCTCCAGTAAAAATACAAAAAATTAGCCAGGTATGAAGGCCACTGAGATCGTGCCACTGCACTGCAGCCTGGGTGACAAGAGTCAAACTACATTTCAAAAACAAAAAACAAAACAAACAAAAAAAACAAAACTTGAGGCCTGGCCTTCTGCTCCTCTCCAACCTCCCCTTCTCTGGGCCCAAGCCACCTTGGCTGAGGAGGGGGCGAGGAGGTGTGAGCCCCTGCCAGGAACCCCCTGCCCGGACCAAGTACTCGGCCCTCAGGCCTGCGTTCAGTGAGGCCTCCCGTGGCGTCAGCATGTTCGTGTGGAGGAATGTGGAAGTTCACTCTGTGGCCGTGTTCCCCTGGTACTCCATCCCCTTCCTGACGCACCCCCCGCAGCCACACGAGGCCCAGCAACCTGCCAGTCACTCAGTGGCCTCCAACCAGAGAAAACAACCTGCCAAGTTGGCAGCTGTTGCTCATGAGCGTCCACCAGGTGGGACAGGGAGTGTTGACCCTGGGCGGCCCCCTGGAGCCATCTGCCCTGAAAGCCCAGGGCCTGCAACCCCACACACTTTGCGGGTGGTGGAACCTGGTAAAAGCTCACCTCCCACCATGGAGGAGGAGCCCTGGGCCCCTCAGGAGAGTCCCTGCTGGACAGTGAGACAGAGAATGACCATGATGATGCTTTCCTCTCCATCATGTCTCCTGACACCCAGTTGCCTCTACCACTCAGATGATGTCAGGCCCAGTCCCTCAGTGCCCTGCGCAAGGAACAGGACTCATCTTCTGATAAGGATGGACGCAACCCCAACAAATGGGACAAGGACCACATCTGGTGGCCCATGAGTGGCGGTCATGATCTTCAGCAAGCGGCACCAGGCCCTGGCAGGGCGCACCAGGGTCACCCTAACCAGGATAACCAGACCATCAGCCAGATGCTGAGCGAGCGGTGGTACACCCTGGGGCCCAATGAGATGCAGAAATACAACCTGGCCTTCCAGGTGAAGGTGGCCCACTTGCAACAAGGACCGAAAGAAGTCCAGCTCAGAGGCCAAGCCCACAAGCCAGGGGCTAGCAGGAGTGTAACAAGGGCTCGTGGGAGCGGAGCATATCAGAGACGGGCACTGCCACTGCCCCTGGGGTGTCCTCTGAACTCCTGTCAGTTGCAGCCCAAACACTCCAGAGCTCGGATACCAAGGAGCAGCTTCTGTGGGGCAGAACAGCTGCACACAGTCAGGGAACCTGGCTCAGCCTGGCCCAAGCCTTCTCCCACAGAGGGGTACACAGCCTGGACGGCAGGGAAATAGACCGCCAGGCACTACGGGAACTGACACAGGTGGTGTCTGGCACTGCATCATACTCTGGCCCAAAGCCTTCTACTCAGCATGGAGCTCCAGGCCACTTTGCAGCCCCTGGTGAGGGAGGTGACCCGTGGGCAGCCCTGCTGCTGCCCACCTGAGCTGCTCATTCCCAGCACATGGCCGGTGAGGACACAGCGAGTGACGAGGAGCACACGGTCATCCATGAGGAGGAGGGGGTGATGATGTCATTGCTGATGATGGCTTTAGCACCACCGACACCGATCTCAAGTTCAAGGAGTGGGTGACCGACTGAGAGTGGGGACAACTCTGGGGAGGAGCCAGAGGGCAACAAGGGCTTTGGTGGGAAGGTATTTGCACCTGTCATTCCTTCCTCCTTTACTCCTGCCGCCCCTTGCTGGATCCTGAGCCCCCAGGGTCCCCCGATCCACCTGCAGCTTTTGGCAAAGTCTATGGTCCCACCCTGTCCTCCTCCAACACATACTTGGATGCTTCCTCCTCAACCTTGGCACCCACCTCCTTCTTACTGGGCCCAGGAGCCTTCAAAGCCCAGGAGTCTGGTCAAGGCAGCAGAGCGGGCCCCCTACGGCCCCTACCCCTGGGGATGGGGGCCCAGGGATGCCTTCCAAGGTGACCTGTTTCCTCCCAATGGATCCTGCCACCTTCTGGTGCAAGAGACCTGAAAGTGTGGGTGACCTGGAGCTACCAGGCTCCTCAGTCATCAGGGTCCCTCCCAACACTAAGGCTTTCCTAGGCAGGAGCTGGGCTGAGCCACCCGGGGGGCAGAGCCTGAAGAGAAATTGACTGGGCTTTCGGGGTCGGGGCAGAGGGAACCCCACGGACATGGATCCCACACTGGAGGACCCCACCACGCCCAAATGCAAGATGAGAAGATGCTCCAGCTGCAGTCCAAAGCCCAACACCCCCAAGTGTGCCATGTGTGATGGGGACAGCTTCCCCTTTGCCTGTACAGGTGGAGAAGCCGAGGACAGGCTCAGGGAACCGGAGACCAAGAAGGCGCTGTCCTCTTCACTGCACGTGCCCTGGACCAGTGCCGGCCCTGATCATGCAGCTCTTCCAGGCCCACTGCTTCTTCCTGTCCACTAGGCCACAGCCGCCCTCCAGGCCCACTATGCACACATCTTCCCCTCCAAGGTTTGTTCTGCCCCAGCCCTGACTCCCAGCCCTGTGGGGGTCCTGACCGCACCTCACCTGGCTCAGACTCTTGACGCTGCCCTGGCCGCCCCACCACTGCCTGTGCCCGAGAGTCACGTGAGGCTGAGAGTAGGGGCAGGGGCAGCAGTGGTGCCAGTTGGGGGGCGGTCCAGTGGGAGGAGCCTCAGCCTCGCGGGCTGCTCCGTGGGACTGATGACTGCATGATCTTCTGGGCACCTCACGGATCTTCAACTGCAGGTGAAACGGATGCTGGTGGTGGGTGCAGGGCCGCTGGGAGCCGCTGCATGGTTCCGAGGCTGGACTGGGGCAGGTGCCAACTGAAGCTGCTGGGGCAGCATGGGCAGGATGTTCTGCACACAAACCTTGGAGAAGAAGATGTGTGCATAGCGGGTCCACTGCTGCTGCCCCTGCCCTGACTCCCAGCCCTGCCTGACCCCACCTCAACCTGCTCAGGCTCTGGCGCAACCCTGGCTGCCCTGCCACTGCCTCTGCCCCAGAGTTGGGGCCTTGACAGCCTGGTTGGAAGGGGACACCCCAGCCCTGCCTCAACACCTGGGGGTCTCCATAACTACCACAGGCAGGTGGGCAACCCCAAAGATCCCAGGACTCACAGTACCCCCTGAGAACATGGACAGTATGTGGGGGTAGCAATGGAGGGCAGGATGGTTATCTTCTCCCAGGTAAAGCCATTTAATCCTTTCAGTTTGGGACGGAGTAAGGCCTGCCTCTTTTTTTTTTTTTTTTTTTTTTTTTTTGAGACCGAGTCTTGCTCTGTCGCCCAGGCTGGAGTACAGTGGTGCGATCTTGGCTCACTGCAACCTCTTCCCGCCGGGTTCACGCCATTCTCCTGCCTCAGCCTTCCGGGTAGCTAGGATTACAGGTGCACGCTACCACGTCCGGCTAATTTTTGTATTTTTAGTACAGACGGGGCTTCATCATCTTGGCCAGGCTGATTTCGATCTCCTGACATCGTGATCTGCCTGCCTCCCCCTCCCAAAGTGCTGGGATTACAGGCGTGAGCCACCACACCTGGCCAAGGCCTGCTCCTCTTATCTATACCCCCTACCCCTGCAGCTGTGCCGGGGGAAAGCTGGGCAGTTTCCCTCCTCCGAGCCCCTGTACATACCATGAATTGTGGGACCTTCAGAGCTTTTCACTTTTCGGAAAATAGCTCCTACTGGGGCTACAAGATGGAGTGTGAAGAGGGCCTTGGGCCACAGGGAGGCGCCTGTGGACTAGGGGGAGTTCATGCACCCCTTCTTTCCCCAGAAGGGCTGGACTCAGGTGAGTATGGGGGTGGGGGCTCCTGCACTTCGACACAGGCAGCGGGAGGGTTTTCTCCCCATTCCCTCTGCACTCCCAACTTGAGCTATACTTTTTAAGAAAGTGATTCACCCTGCCTTTGCCCCCTTCCCCAGAACAGAACACGTTGATCATGGGCGATATTTTTCACTGTGCCAAAAAGTTGCCATGACCATCATTAAACCTGTTTAACACCAAATAATAAGGAAAATAAAATAAAAAAATCGGGCATGGTGCAGAAACTCACTCCAAATAAATTACCTACCAAAATATATAATGGTGGAAATATTCCAAAATTCCATATTTTGGGATTTATACACAAAAGATAAACAAATTAGAGGCCAAGAGGCTGCCAGAAGGGAAAAACGGGGCCTGGAAAGGCCGTTGTGAGGAATGAGCTGGGCCTAAAGAGGCCACTGGCAGGCAGGAGCTGGACCTGCCGAAGTGGCCGAAAGGCAGGAGCTGTGGACTGGGGAGGCCGCAGTGAGGCGAGAGCTAGCTGGGCGTGGAGAGTCCGCTGTGAGGCCGAGGCCGGGCCCGTGCAGGCCTTCGAGAGGCAGGAGGCCGGGCCTGCAAAGGCCGACTGGAGATCAAGTTCTGCGCCTGAAGAGGCTGCCAAAAGTCAAAAGCGGGGCCTGGGAAGGCCGCCGAGAGCCATGAGCTGGGCTGGGCCGAAAGAGGCCACTGGGAGGCAGGAGGAGCTGGGCCTGGAGAGGCTGACTCGAGGAAGTTTTGCACCTGGAGAGGCCGCCGAGAGGACAGAGCTGGGCCCGGGGAGGCCAACTTGCTGCTCTTCCAGGCCCACTTCCAGGCCGACTTGAGGACGACTTGGGCCTGCAGAGGCCGCCAGGAGGCCCAAGCTGGGCCTAGAGGAGCCCACCGACCGGAGGCCGTTTGGGGCCTGCAGATGCCATCGGAGGGCAGGAGCTGAGCCTGGAGAGGCCACCGTGAGGCCTGAGCTGGGCCTAGGGAGCTTGGCTTAGGGAAGTTGTGGGCCTACCAGGGCCGCTGGGAGCTGGGCAGGAGCTGAGTCCAAAGACGTTGTTGGGACCTGGAGTCGGGCCAGAGTCCGGCCTGGAGACGCAGCCGGGAGGAAGAGCTGGGCCCGGAGAGGACGCCGGGAGGCTGCCAAGTGGGTCTGAGAGGCCGACTTGAGGAGGCCCGGCCTCTGCCTCCCGCATGGCCCAGCTGTTCCTCCTGGCTGCATCTCCCGCCTCCCAGCAAACAAGCTCTTTTGGCTCAGCTCCCGCCGGCCTTTGTAGACCCCGAAGTTTCTGCAACCAAGCTCTTCAGACCCACATCCCTTCTCCCAGTGACTGAACAGTCCCAGCTCCGGCTGGAGAAGAGCGTCTGCAAAACCCGCTGTTGCCTCCCAGGGGAGTCTCCAGGCCCAGCTCTCGCCCCACCGCGACCTCCCAGGCCCAAGTCCCTGCCTACCTCCCAGCAGCCCGCGTGCGACCCTGCTCCTCCCTCACGGTGGCCTGTTGAGGCAAGGGCTCACGCTGACCTCTGTCCGCGTGGGAGGAGCCGGTGTGAGGCAAGGGGCTCACGCCTCTGGGCAGGGTGCCAGAGGCATGAGTTGGGCATCAACAGGCCACCGTGAGGGAGGAGCTGGGCCGCACGCGGGCTGCTGGGAGGCAGGCAGGGACTTGGCCCCAGGAGGCCGCCGTGGGGGCAAGAGCTGGGCCTGGAGAGGCACCTGGGAGGCAAGGGCGGGGCCTGCAGAGGCTGTTCTCCAACCAGTGCTGGGCCTGTACAGGCCACCGGGAGGCAGGAGGTGGGCCCTCAGAGCTTGGCTGCAGAAAGTTCGGGGCCTAGAAAGGCGGTTGGGAGCTGGGCAGTTGAGCCAAAAGAGCTTGCTTACTTGCTGGGAGGCAGGGCCGGGAGAGGCCGACTTCAGGACAACTTGGGCCTGCAGCAGTCGCTGGGATGGAGGCCCAAGCAGTGGCATGCAGCAGTGGCATGGAGGAGCCCACCGACCGGAGACCATTTGGGGCCTGGAGATGCCATCGGAGGGCAGCAGCTCATCCTGGAGAGGCCACCGTGAGGCCTGACCTGGGCCTCGGGAGCTTGGCTTGAGGAAGCTGTGGGCCGACCAATGCCGCCAGGAGATGGGTAGGCACTGAGTCCAAAGAGGTTGTTGAGAGGCAGGAGTCGGGCCTGGAAACGCAACCAGGAAGAAGAGCTGGGCCCGGAGAGGACGCCCGGAGGATGCAAGTGGGTCTGGAGAGGCCGACTTGAGGAGGTTCTGGGCCCGGAGAGGCCGCCGGAAGGGAAAAACTGGGCCTGGAAAGGCCGTTGTGAGGAATGAGCCCCATGGGCCTGAAGAGGCCACTGGCAGGCGGGAGCTGGGCCTGCCGAAGCGGCCGAGAGGCAGGAACTTTGGACTCGGGAGGCCGCAGTGAGGCGACAGCTAGCTGGGCGAGGAGAGTCCGCTGTGAGGCAGAGGCTGGGCCTGTGCAGGCCTTCGGGAGGCAGGAGGCTGGGACTTTCGGTGGAAAGTCAAAAGCGGGGCTTGGGAAGGCCGCCGGGAGGCATGAGCTGGGCTGGGCCGAAAGAGGCCACTGGGAGGCAGGAGGAGCTGGGCCTGGAGAGGCTGCCGAAAGGCAGGAGCTTCACCTGAGGATGCCACAGTGAGACACCATCTGGGTCTGGAGGGTCCACTGTGAGGCAGAGGCTGGCCTGTAGAGTCCGACAGTAGACAGAAGTTGGGCAAAAGGCTGATTTGAGGAAGTTTTGGGCTTCAAGAGTCAGCCACGAGGCAGGCACTAGGCCTGGAAATGGCCTGACAGTCATGAGTTGGGCCTAAATGGGCCACTGTGAGGGAGGAGCTGTGCCTGTTGAGGCTGCTGGCAGGCAGGCAGAAATTCGGCCTGGGGCAGCTGCCATGAGGCAAGAGCTGGGCCTGGAAAAAGCCCCTGGGAGGCAAGAGCAGGGCCTGCAGAGGCTGTTCTCAAGTCAAAGCTGGGCCGGTTCATGCCACCGGGAAGCAGAAGGTGGGCCTGGAGAGTTTGACTTGAGGAAGTTTTGGGCCTACATTGGCCGCCATGAGCTGGACAGGAACTGGGCCAAAAAAGGCTGTTGTGAGGCAGCAGTTGTGCCTGTAGACCCAGCCAAGAGGAAGAGGTGGGCCTGGAGAAGCCCCCATGAGGCAGAGGTTGGGCCTCTAGACGCTGACAGGAGGCAGGAGCTGGGCCTGGAGAGGCCAACTTGAGGAGATTTTGGGCCTTCATAGGCCACCAGGAGGCAGCAGTTGGGACTAGAGAGTCTGACTTGAGTAAGTTTTGGGCCCGGAGATGACGTCCTGGGACAGGAGTTGGGCCTGGAGAGGCCACCGTGAGGCATAAGCTGGATGTAGAGAGGCCAGTGTGAGGCAAGACCTGGGCCTGTCTAGGCTGCTGGGAGACAGGCAGGAATCTGGCCAGGGAAGGTTGCCATGAGACAAAAGTTGGGCCTGGAAAGGCCCTTGTGAAGCATGAGCTTGGCCTAAAGAAGCCACTGGGTGGCAGGAGCTGGGTGTGTAGAAGCTGCTGAAAGGTTGGGAGCTTGGCTTGGGGGGTCCACAGTGAGGCAGATGCTGGGCCTGAAGAATCTGCTGTGAGACAGATGTTGGGACTGTAGAGGCCGACGGGAGGCAGAGGCTGGGCCTGGAGGGGCCACCAAGATGCAGGAGCTGGGCCTGGAGAGGCTGCAAAGAAGCATGAGCTGGGCCTGGTGAGGTCGACTTGAGAAAGTTCAGGGCCTGGAGAGAAGGCTGGGAGGCAGGAGCTGGGTCTAAAGAGGCCATTGTAACGATGGAGCTGTGCCTGTGGAGGCTGTTGTGAGGCAGTAGCCTCATCTGCGGAGACTGCCGTGACGTAGGGTATGGGCCTAAATAGGCCATTGTGAGTCATGAGCTTGGTCTGTAGAGGCTGACTGGAGAAAGTTCTGGGCCTGGAGAGGCTGCCAGGAGGTAGGAGCTGGGCCAAAAGATGTAAGCACATTTGCATTTATTAGGCACTTTATTTCCATTATTACACTGTAATATATAATAAAATAATTATAGAACTCACCATAATGTAGAATCAGTGGGCGTGTTAAGCTTGTTTTCCTGCAACTGGATGGTCCCACCTGAGCGTGATGGGAGAAAGTGACAGATCAATAGGTATTAGATTCTCATAAGGACAGCGCAACCTAGATCCCTCACATGCACAGTTCACAACAGGGTGCGTTCTCCTATGAGAATCTAATGCTGCTGCTGATCTGAGAAGGTGGAGCTCAGGCGGGAATGTGAGCAAAGGGGAGTGGCTGTAAATACAGACGAAGCTTCCCTCACTCCCTCACTCGACACCACTCACCTCCTGCTGTGTGGCTCCTTGCGGCTCCATGGCTCAGGGGTTGGGGACCCCTGCTCAAGTGCATCCGAAACGACCCTTCCCACACCAGTCTTCACAGTGGTCAAGTGCAGCAACCACTTAGCTCCCAAGGCATGTGCCTCAGCTGGCATTTCGTCACAATCAACAGTAAGTGGTAGCTTGAGTCACTGTGAGGTCACCTACTGGAAATCACCAGCATCCCATTTCCCACTGGCAAAGAGCTCAGCACTGCCCCCTGGGAAACCAAACCTATGCCCAAATCCCATCTGTGTGGGTTTATCTCCTGGGACCCTTCCTAACATATTAGTCAGAGTCCAATCAGGAAGCATAAACCACTCAAAAGTTTAAAGTGGTAAAATTTAATACAGAGAATTATTCATTATAACAGGTGAACAGCATAATGAGAGATTGGCTAGCACAAAGTAAAGAGAACTCTAGAGAATACAGGACTAGCCCAGGCCAGGCATGGTGGCTCATGCCTGAAATTCCAGCAATTTGAGAAGCTAATGCAGGAGGATTGCTTAAGGCCAGGAGCTAGAGACCGGTCTGGACAACACAGTGAGACCCTGTCTCTATCCAAAAGAAGAAAAAAGTTAGCTGGGGGTGGTGGTGCACACTTGTAGTCCCAGCTACTCGGAATGCGGAAGTTTGAGCCTGGGAGGTCAAGGCTGCAGTGAGGCATGATTATGCCACTACAGTCCAGCCTGGTGACAGAGCAAGACCCTGTCTCAAAGAACAAAACAACAACAACCATTTACAGACAGAAAAGAAATAGAGCTAATAAGCTGAGGAAAGATGTTGAAATGTGACAAGTAAAGTAATATGAGTTCTTTTGTCTATGTAAAATAATCAAACAAAAAATGACTTACTAAATTATAATACCCTGTGCTGGCAAAGGTGCAGTGAAATGGGCACTTTCTTATACTATGAGGGGTGTTTAAATTGTGTATAAGCCTTCCAGGGTAAAGCCTGTCCATTTTTTAAAATAATGGAGACAGGGTCTCACCATACTGCCATACTGCCTCCTCCAACTCTTGGCCTCAAGCAATCCTCCTCTCTTAGCCTCCCAAAGTGCTAAGATTATAGCTGGGAGGCACCCAAAACCCTGTCAATTTACATCAAGGGTAATGAGAATGTCCATTCACCATGACTCACAGTAATCTTACTTCTGGGGAGACAATTCAATCTAAACAAAAGGTCATCTGTACACACACAGTAAAAATCTGGGAGTAACTGAAGACAGAGTTGGTAAGTGAAATAAGAAACAGTTATAAGAAATTAAACTATGGTATCAATAGGCACCTGGTAAAAGGTCAGTTGATGTTAGCTGCTACTTTTTTGTTGTTTTGAGACAGGGTCTCACTCTGTCACCCAGGCTGGAGTGCAGAGGCCTGATCATGACTCACTGCAGTCTCAGCCTCCCTGGGCTCAAGTGATCCTCCCACCTCAGCCTCCCAAGTAGCTGGGACTACAGGAACATGCCACCACACTAGGCTAATTCATGTATTTTTCTGTAGGGATGGTGACTCCCTTTGTTTCCAAGGCCTATCGCAAACTCTTGGCCTCAAGCCATCCTCCTGCCTCAGCCTCCCAAAGTGTTGCGATTACCAGTGTGAGCCACCACACCTGGCCAGCTGCCACTTTTATCAATATTATTATTATTCCACTCAATTAAAAATTATTATTTTCAAGGCTATGCAACAGTATGTATCCTACAGCGTAATTGTAAAAACATATACAGTCGTCCCTCAGTATACAGAATTAGTTCCAGCCCCCCATCTCTGCATATAACAAAATCCATGCTTACTCACGTTTCGCTGTCACCCCTCTGGAATCCACGTATACAAAAATTCCAAATATTAGTTGGGCATAGTGGCAAGCACCTGTAGTCTCAGCCACGTGGGAGGTTGAGATGGGAGGATCGCTTCAGCCTGGAAGGTTGAGGCTGCAGTCAGCTGTGATAGCACTACTACACTCCAGCCTTGGACAACAGAGGGAGACCCTGTCTCAGAAAAAAAACAAAATAAAACAGGTTAGAAATTGTAATGAGGTCTGCTGGGCAAAATTCCATATAAGCAAAGTATAAATTAATAAAGCAAATCGTGATAAATTAGTACGATTGACTTTCTGGAGTTTCTGACAATAAAAGTAAGGAAAATGCAGAACACAAAGACAGACAGTAAAAAGAGAAATTAGGAAAGCATTCTACATGTTTAATAGAAAGACACTGGCCACGTTCGTGCAGAGGCAGTATGTCATGACATGACATACCTTGGAGAGAAGTTAACAGATGAGGAAGTTGATAAAAATCATCAGAGAAGCAAAATACTGGTAGCGACACTCAAGTAAACCATGAAATTTCCATAACTTATGTCAGCAAAGTGGGAATATTGTACAGTGTGTGTTGAAGTTCCTATACAACATTGTTTATCTGCCTTTTGTTTGTTTGTAAGGAATGTATATACTAAATGTTCTTCTTGCTGTCAAAAGAATATGTGTGCATAAGTCATTTTAACTTATTCTTCTGTTTTTCTTTGATCTTCCTGCCATCATCCCACAGCCTTACTTTAGAAATTTTTTTTTTAGAAAATTGAACAAGTGCTCCTTGTGGTGGCACATGCCTCGAGGATGGGAGGCAGGGGTGGAAGGGTCACTTGAGGCCATTAGTTTGACACCAGCCTGGCCAACAAAGTGAGACCCCGTGTCTACAAAACAATTTAAAAATTAGCCAAGTATCGTCATGTATACCTACAGTCCTAGCTACTCAGGAGGCTCAGGTAGGAGGATCCTTAGCCCAGGAGTTCAAGGCTGCAGTGAGCTGTGATAGCACTACTGTACTCAAGCCTGGGTGACAGGGTGAGACCCCATCTCCTAAAATAAAAAGCAAAGAAAAAAAATAGTTCAAGTAGCAAGTTGTATGTGGCTTACTCTGAATATTTCTAAACTAGAAATTCTCAATCTTTTGGGGTCTAACATCCCTTTACATTTTTTAACTTTATTGAAGATCTCTAAGACTATTTCTTTCTGCAGATAATTATATTAAAACTAGAAAATAAGACACAATTTTTTAAATATTATTCATCACATATTAAAGCCATTACATGTTGATATAATACAAGATTTTTAAAATATTTAATATTCATTACATATTAATAATAAAACCATTACATGTTGATATATTACTTTTTTTTTTTCTTTGAGACAAAGTCTTGTTCTTTTGCCCAGGCTGGAGTGAAGTGGCGCAATCTCAGCACATTGCAACCTCCACCCCGCAGGTTCAAGCGATTCTCCTACCTCAGCCTCCCAAGTAGCTGGGATTACAGGTGCCCACTACCATGTCCAGCTAATTATTGTATTTTCTTAGTAGAGAAGGAGTTTCGCCACGTTGGCAAGGCTGGTCTTGAACTCTTGACCTCAGGTGATCCACCCGCCTGGGTCTCCCTAATTGCTGGGATTACAGGTGTGAGCCACCGCGCCCACCCCGATTAATATATGTTTTAAAACACTGATTAATCAGGCAACAACACCGGGCAGGGGTCTCCTCATTCCCAGGGATGCAAACCCCACTGCACGGCTGAGGGGTTGCAAGGGCTGCAGAGCCAAAAGGCTCTGACTTGAGATATTATTTTACTTGTATTTTTATTTGTATTGTGAGACAGGTCCTGCTCTGTCACCCAAACTGGAGTGCAGCTGTGCACTTACAGCTCACTGCAGCCTCGACCTCCTGGGCTCAAGCCATCTTCCTGCCTCAGCTCCCCAGTAGCTGGTAGTACAGTTGAGTGTCACCATGCCTGGTTATTTTTTTAATTTTTTTGTAGAGTGAGGGATCTTGCTATGTTGCCCAAGCTGGCCTCAAACTCCTGACCTCAAGAGATCTGCCCACTTCAGCCTCCTGAGTAGCTGAAACTACAAGTACACATCACCATGCCTAGCTACATTTATTTAATTTTGAAAAATATTTTTGTAAAGAGCAGATCTTGCTGTGTTGTCCAGGCTGGTCTTGAACACCTGCCCTTAAAAGATACTCGCACCTCTGCTTACCAAACAGCTGGGACTACAGGCATGAGCCACTGCAATGAGCCTGAAGAGATTTCTTTAATCTAGCATCCCATACTTGGTAGGATTGGGAAAGGCAGTAGTGTTTTTTAAAATTACTTAATAATTTCAGTAACAATCAAACTCAACCTTGACCCCTGCCTTCTCTCACACCCCATATCCAGTCTGTCAGGAAATCCTGTTGACTGTCTTCGACATGTACTAAAGATCCCCACCCAGCAACTCCCTGGCCTCCTCCCCTACTTCTCCCCTCTGACCATCTCTCAACACCACCACGACCCTGGTCAGGACCACCATCATCTCCCGCCTGGATGTTGCCAAAGCTTGGCCCCCATGCTTCTATCACATCTTCCCACGGTCTTTCTCAACTCAGCAGCCAGAGAATGCTTTTAAATCAGGTGACAGATCATGTCGCCTCTCTGCTCAGAACCCTCCCGCAGTTTCCATCTGAGTCAGAGTAAAAGCCAAAGCCCCAGCAATAACCTCCCAGGGCTTATGTGATCTGTACTGATCCCCACCCAGCAACTCCCTGGCTCCCTCCCCTAATTCTCTCCCTCTCTCCGTCTGCTCCATGGGCCTCCTTCCAGAGCCTCAGACACACCTCAGACACTTTATTCTATTGTTTCTGCCTACAATCCTCTTCCCTCAGCACCTTGGCCACCTCCTTCCCCTCCTTCAAGTCTTTACTCAATTTTCACTTAGGAGGCCACCCCTGACCATTCTACTTAACATTGCCATCTGTCCCCATGCCCACCATGCTCATTTCTTCTTTCTTTACTTTCTTCTTTCTTTTTTTCAAGATCTCACCGTCACCAAGGCTGGAGTGCAGTGGCGAAATCACAGCTCACTGCAACCTCAAATTTCCAGGCTCAAGCGATCCTCCCACCTCAGCCTCCCGAGTAGCTGGGACTCCAGGTTCATGCCACCATGCCTGGCTAAATTTTTTAGTATTTTATTTTATTTTATTTTGAGACAGAGTTTCACTCTTCTTGCCCAGGCTGTAGTGTAACGGTGCGATCCCGGCTCACTGCAACCTCCACCTCCCAGATTCAAGTGATTCTCCTGCCTCAGCCTTCCAAGTAGCTGGGATTACAGGTGCGTGCCACCATGCCCAGCTAATTTTTGTATTTTTAGTAGAGCCGGGGTTTCACAATGTTGGCCAGGCTGGTCTCGAACTCCTAACCTCAGGTAATCTGCCCGCTTCGGCCTCCCAAAGTGCTGGAATTACAGGCGTGAGCCACCACGCCTGGCCAATTTTTTCATTTTTTGTAGAGACAAGGTCTTACTATGTTGCCCAGACTGGTCTTGAACTCCTGGCCTCAAGTGATCCTCCTGCCTAAATTCCTAAAGTGCTGGGATTACCAGCATGAGCCATCATGCCTGGCTTCATGTTCATTTCTTCTTGCTGCTGCAACATAGTTTGCAGTTTCCTACACTTAGTGGCTTAAAACACCACAAATCTACCATCTTACAGTTCTAGGGGCCAGACACCCAAACTAGGTCTATTAAGGCTAAAGTCAAGGTGTCAGCAGGGCTGCATTCCTTCTGGAGACTCTAATATGTTCCCTTGGCTTTTCCAGCTTCTAGAAGCCACCCCCATTCCTTGGATCATGGCCCCTGACTCCATCTTCAAAGCCAGAGGTGAAGCATCTTCAAATCAGATCCCTCTCTTACCTCTGCTTTCATCACCACATCTCCTGCTCCAATTCTGAATCTCCTACTCTCTTTCTTTTATAAAGACCCTTGTGATTGCTGGGCATGGTGGCTCCCACCCAGAATCCCAACACTTTGGGAGGTCAAGGCAGGAGGAACACTTGAGGCCCGAAGTTTGAAACTAGCATGAAAAACACAGTGAGAACCCCCCCTAGAAAAAAATAAAAATAAATATTAGCCCGACATGGTGGTATGCGCCTGTAGTCCCAGCTACTTGAGAGGCTGAGGTGAGACAATCGATTTAGCCCAGGAGTTTGAGATCAGCCTGGACGACATAACTAAATCTCATCTCTACAAGGACGAGGTGGGAGGACCACTTGAGCCCACGAATTTGTGGCCAGCCTGGGCAACAAAAGAAGACCCCATCTGGCCAACATGGCCAACCTGGCCACCATGGCGAAACTCTGACTCTACAAAAATGAGCTGGGCATGGGTGACATGCATGTGTAGTCCTAGCTACTTGGGAGGTTGAGATGGGAGGATTGCTTGATCTCAGGAGGCCAAAGCTATAGTGAGCTATGATCACATCACTGCACTCCAGCCTGGATGACACAGGAGATTCTGTCTCAAAAAAAAGAAAAGAAATACATATTTAATCTCTGTCCCTGGTTCGTGGCACAGAGCTTCTAAAGCTCTTACAAAGACCTCAGTGGCAGATGTGACAGGAACATCTTTTGTTTTAATATTTGGTCTTGGTCCCAGGTTTCTAACACAAGAGCCTCTAATAACTTTGGGATCTCCAGCATGGTAAGAATGCATTTGGGGATGTTGTTGAGATGACTGCGTGACTGCAAGCTCCTAAATTTCTTCAAGAGGAGGGCTGATTACCATGCAACCACATTATAAGAGGCTTGGAACTTTCAGCCTCATGCACTGAACTCCAGGAGGAGGAGGGGCTGGAGACTGACTTAATCACCAACAGCCAAAGGTTTTATCAATCATGCTTGCATAATAAAGCCTCCATAAACACCCTGAAAGGGGTTTGCAGAGCTTTCAGGGTTGCTGGACACAGGAGATGCTGGGAGGGTCGCATGTTCAACAGAGGGCATGGGAGCTCTGTGCCCCTCCGAACTTAACTTGCCCTGGGTATCTTTCTTTTTTTTGAGACAGGATCAGGCTCTTTTGTCCAAGCTAGAGTGCAGTGGCACAACCTCAGCTTACTGTAACCTAAGCCTCCCCAGTCCCCAGCTCAAGGTATCCTCTCATCTCAGCTTCCCTAGTAGTTGGAACTCTAGGTGCACACCACCACACCAGTTATTTTTTTTTTTTAATTTTTTATAGAGACAGGTTTTCACCATGTTGCCCAGGCTGGTCTCAAACTCTTGAGTTTAAGCGATCCTCCCACCTTGGCCTCCCAAAGTGCTGAGATTACAGGCATGAGCCACTGCATCCAGCATGCACGTCTCTTTCATCGACTGTTTCTGAGATGTATCCTTCACAATGAACCAGTAATAGGAGATGAACTGGCCAGATGTGGTGGCTCACATCTGTAATCCCAGCACTTTCAGAGGCTGAGGTGGGAGGATCACTTGAGACCAGGAATTTGTGGCCAGCCTGGCCAACACAACAAGACCCCATCTATACAAAAAATAAAAGAAACTAGCCAGATGTGGTGGTGCAGGCATGTACACTCAGCTACTAGGGAGGCTGAGGTGGGAGAACCACTGGAGCCCAGACAATCAAGGCTGCAATGAGCTATGACTGCACCATTGCACACCAGCCTGGGCAACAAAATAAGACCCTCTCTCTCAGAAAAAAAGAAAATAAACTGTTTTTCTGAGTTCCGTAAACTGTTCTAGCAAATTATTAAACCCAAGAAGACAGTTATGGGAACCCCCGATTGGTAACAGGTTGGTCAAAAGTACGGTGACAACTTAGGACTTGCCATTGGCATCTGAAGTGAGGATGGCCTCGTGGGACTGAGCCCCTAACTTGTGGGGTCTGTGCTAACTCCAGGTAGTGTCAGAATAAAGTCATGGGATACCCAGTTAATATCCAGAGCACTGAAGAATTTGGTGTAGAAACTCCATACATACATTCAGTCAGAAGTGTGTGAGTAGAGACAAACATGGGCTTTTCTGTCACCTACCTGCTTAACTGCATAGGAGAGGCAATATGTGGTGCTCATGAACAAAGCAAACATTAAAGTCAGACCAAACCCAACATTTGACTCAATCTTAATATCCAGGTGAGCTTGGGCAAATCATTCATTATTCCTAAGGCTTCATCACTCCGTTCATAAAATGGGGATAACTGTGGCACCTACCTGTGATTCTGTGAGAATTAATGAAATATTATGCTTGGGGTTACTGTGATCATTATACCTATTCCAAACTATTTGACAAGGACAGTGATGGATGATGACATCAAAAAATCAGAAACTGCAATGAGGTCTCTCAGGCAAAATTCCATACAAGCAAATTACTGTGTCTACAAAGCATTCCTGCCACACTTAATTCACCATTCCCTGAACAAAATATGCCATCTTCGTTGTTCAGGTCCGTACAGTGCTGGTTTCCCTTCCCGGGCAGTTTGCGCTATCCCATCTCGGCCCATTCACCATCCCTCCACCTCCCCCTTCCCTCCCCACTCTCATACAACTCTTCCTCATCTTTCAGGACTTGGCTTCAATGTCACCTTAACTGGAAGCTTCTCTCACTCTCCAGAAGAGCTTCCCATTGCACTTGATGCATGCACTATTATTTGATCATTTTTAAGTTACAGTCCAAATCTTTTTGTTCCTGAATAACATGTTGCCCAGTCAGTCTCTCTTCCTGGATTCAGAAGTCTTTCATGGTAGATCCAGCTGGAAGTGACAAAAAGACATCTTTTGACATAAAGGGATGACACAGACAGACATAAGTTCTTAAATGTCTTAAATGTTATGTGAAAATTAAACAGAATTCAAAGACTTGTGGGGAACACTTAGGAGGGAAAGTTACTGGGAATGTCATAAAGGGTTAATTTGTATTTTATTTTATTTTTTGAGACAGTCTCATTCTGTCACCTAGGCTGGAGTGCAGTGGTGCAATCAGGCTCACTGCAGCCTTGACCACCTGGGCTCAAGTAATCTCACTTAATTTTTATTTGGTTTAAGAAAGTCTTGGTTGAGGGTGGTGGCTTATGCCTGTAATCTCAGCACTTTGGGAGGCTGAGAAAGGTATATTACTTGAGGCCAGGAGTTTGAGATCAGCCTGGGCAATATATTAAGACCCTGCCTCTACCAAAAAACAGAGTGAATGTGTGGAAGACAATTTTTCCACAGACTGGGAGTGAGGGAATAATTTCAGGATGATTCAAGTGCATTACATATATTGTGCACTTTATTTCTATTATTACTACACAGTAATATATAATGAAATGATTCTACAACTCACTATAACGTAGACTCAGTGGGATCTCTGAGCTTGTTTTCCTGCAATTAGACTGTCCATCTGGGGTGATGGGAGACAGTAACAGAATATCAGGCATTAGATTCTCATAAGGAATACACAACCTAGATCCCTCGCATGCACACTTCACAACAGAGTTTGTGCTCCTATGAGAATCTAATGCTGCTGCTGATCTGACAGGACATGGAGCTCAGGTGGTCATGCAAGCGATGGGAGGGGCTAGAAATACAGATGAAGTTTCCCTTCACTCGCCTGCTGCTCACCTCCAGCTCTGTGGCCCTGTGGTTGGAGACCGCTGCTCAAATGCATTCGAAAGGATCCATCCCACGCCATTCTTCAGAGTCATCTTTACTGCTGCAGTGGTCAACTTGTAGCACCCCTAAGCTCGCAGGACATATGCTTCAACTGGCATTTCACAATCAACAGTATGTGGTAGCTTGAGTCATTGTGCGGTCACTTCCTGGAAATCACCAGCATCCCATATCCCATTAGCAAGGAGCTCAGCACTGCTCCTTGGATAACCAAACCTATTCCCAAATCCCATCTGTGTGCGTCTATCTCCTGGTACCCTTCCTAGCATCAATTCTGTATTTGTAGGAGTCCAATCAGGAGACACAAACCACTCAAAAGTTTAAACTAGAATGAGCAAGATGGCTCACATCTGTAATCCCAGCACTTTGGGAGGCCAAGGTGGGTGGACTGCTTTGAGCTCAGGAGTTTGAGAACAGTCTGGGAAATATGGCGAAACCTCGTCTCTACAAAAAACACAAAAATCAGCTGGGTGTGGTGGCACTTACCTGTAATCCCAGCTACTCGGGAGGCTGAGGCAGGAGAATTGCTTGAGCCTGGCAGGTGGAGGCTGCAGTGAGCAGAGGTTGTGCCACTGTACTCCAGCCTGGGTGACAGTGTGAGACCCGGTATCAAAAAGAAAAAACGTATATATATGTAAATTTAATATAAAAAGTATTAATTTTGGCCAGGCACAATGGCTCATACCTGTAATCCCAGCACTTTGGGAGGCCAAGGCAGACAGATCACCTGAGATCAGGAGTTTGAGACCAGTCTGACCAGCATGGAGAAACCCCATCTCTACTAAAAATACAAAATTAGCTGGGCATGGTGGCACATGCCTGTAATCCCAACTACTCGGGAGGCTGAGGCAGGAGAATCGCTTGAACCCGGCAGGTGGAGGTTGCGCTGAGCCGAGATAGCGCCATTGCACTCCAGCCTGGGCAACAAGAGTGAAACTCCATCTCGAAAAAAAAAAAAGGTATTAATTTTTACAGAGGATCAGCACAATGAGGGACACACTAGCACAAAGTAAAGACAACTCTAGAGAATACGGAACTAGCAGAGGCCAGGCATTGTGGCTCATGCCTGTAATCCCAGCAATTTGGGAAGCCTAGGCAGGAGGATCGCTTGAGGCCAGGAGTTGGAGACCAATCAGTGCTAAATAGTGAGACTCTGTGTCTACCAAAAAAAGAAACATTAGCCAGGTGTGGTGGTGGTGCACACCCGTAGTTCCAGCTACTTGGGAGTCTGGGGTGGGAGAAATCCCTTGAGCCTGGGAAGTCTACACTACAGTGAGCCAAGATTGTGCCACTGCACTCCAGCCTGGGCGACAGAGTGAGACCCTGTCTTAGAAAGAAAAAAGAAAAGAAAGTGTTAATCCCCCTATGGGAATCTCCTCTTCTCCTGCCCTCTCTGGAACCTCACTTGTCAGTTCTTCCTCCCACTTTCCTGTATCTTTAACCTATCCCCCACTTTTAGCTCCTTCCCATCATCATTTAAATTACTCAAACTTCTTCTGTTTTAAAAACCTCTCCCTAAACTCAGGGAGAGGTCTCCTGCACACCCATTGAGCCATCTGCTCTCCCTGGTGCCTTCTCTACAGCAGCCTGAGCCATGTCTCTAATCCATGAATCTCATCATGTTACTCCCCCATTTACATCACTTCTCCTTGCCTCAGGGATTAAGTCCAAACTCCTTAACAGCCCCTGCTCTGCCCTGCCTTGCAAGGCAGCCTCACTGCTTGCCCCTCTCCATTTCATCTGCTATGGAGTCCAACTGAGCCTCATCTGCCCCTTGAACGCACACTCTTTCTCCTCTGGGAGTCTCTGAAGTGGGTAATATCCTCTGCTTATAATATACTTCCCCTTAAACCTCTACTCTCTTCCTAGCTAGCTTCGACTCCTCTGTCACTTGTCCGCTTTGGCATCACCTCCTCACAGAAGACTTCTTTGACTCCCGAGATTCTCAGGAGCATGGCAGGTGAGGTGCTCCTCCCATGAATGGATGGAGATTAGGGAGTGTGTGTTATTCATGCTTAATTCACCAGTGCTTAGCTGAGTACCTGGCATAAAATAGTTACTGTGGTGGCCAAAGTAAGAACCCCCACTGCCACCAATTGCTCATGTCCTATGTTACACAGCACAGTTACATAGGAAGGGGGAATTAAGAGTGCAGATAAAATTAATGTTGCTCATCAGTTGACCTTAAAACAAGATTATCCTGGAGTATCTAGGAGAGCCCATGTAATTACAAGCATTCTTTAAAACTGGAAGAGGAAGGCAGAAGGTTAAGAACCAGAAACGGTGGGCACAACGGCTCATGCCTGTAATACCAATACTTTGGGAGGCCAGGGCAGGAAAATCCCTTGAGTGCAGGAGTTCAAGGTCAGCCGTGGCAACATACTGAGGTCCCATCTCTACAACAAAATAAAAACAAAATTCACTGAGTGTCACGATGCTTACCTGTAGTCCCAGCTACTGGGAAGGCTGACATGGTAGGATTGCTTGAGCCTGGGAGTTTGAGGCTATAATGAGCCATGATAGGACCACTGAACTCCATCCTGAGTGACAGGGCAAGGTCCTGTTTCTAAAGAAAAAAAGGACATTGGAATCAGGGTCCTCTCCATCCTAAGGTGCCTACAAGGCATCTCTCTCTGCAAACGAGTAAACATCACCCTCCAACTCCTTACAGAGTGGAGGAGCAGGAAAACTCCTTCACCTCATTTCTGTGCTGCTTGGGAGGCCTGGACAGCCCAATAACCAGCTCCTTGCTGATGAAGCAATCAGGAAATGGCTCGAGTTGAGCTAAGGAGAATTTGGATTCTTCTTTTGGTTCTCAATAGGCAGGGTAGGGGCCAGGCATGGTGGCTCATACCTGTAATCCTTGCACTGTGGGGGGCCAAGGTGAGAGGATTGCTTGAGGCCAGGAGCTCAAGACCAGCCTGGGCAACATAGCAAGACCTGGGTGGCATACACCTGTGGTCCCTACTACTTGGTAGGATGAGGTGGGAGGATTGATCACTTGATCCCAGGAGTTTCAGGCTGCAGTGAGCCATGATCACACCACTGCACTTCAGCCTGGGTGACAGAGCCAGACCATGTCACAAAAAGTTAGAAAGAAAAAAAAAAGAGAGAGGGAGAGAGACTATACACAGGCACCACCACATTTGGCTAATTTTTAAATATTCTGTAGAGACAAGGTCTTGCTAGGTTGCCCAGGCTAGTCTAAAACTCCTGGCATCAGGCTGGGCATGGTGGCTCATGCTTGTAATCCCAGCACTTTGGGAAGCTAAGGCAGGCAAATCACCTGAAGCCTGGAGTTCGAGACCAGCCTGGCCAACATGGTGAAACTCTGACTCTATCAAAAATACAAAAATCAGCTGGGCAGTAGTGGCGTGTACCTGTAGTCTCACCTACTCGGGAGGCTGAGGCAGGAGAATCACCTGAACCTGGGAGGTGGAGGTTGCAGTGGACCCCATCACTGCACTCCACCCTGGGTGACAGAGCTAGACTCTGTCAAAAACAACAACAACAACAATAACAAAAACAAAAACAACAACAACAAAAAAAACTCCTGGCATCAAGACATCTTCCTGTCTTAGCCTCCCAATGCCCTGGGATTATACTGTTTCCTATCATTGAAGACACTTGTTCTTATACTGCTTTAAGGTATAAAGGAAGAAAAAAAAAACAGATAATGGCAAATGTTGGTGAAGGCTGGGCATGGTGGCAGCCTGTAATTCCAGAACTTAGGGAGGCTGAGGTGGGCAGATCACTTGAGGCCAGGAGTATGAGACCAGCCTGGACAACATGGTAAAATCCCATCACTACAAAAAAATATAAAAATTAGCCAGGCATGGTGGCGTACACCTGTAATTTTCAGCTACTCAGGAGGCTGAGATGAGAGAATCACTTGTGCCTGGGAGGTCAAGGCTGCAGTGAACTGTGATGGCATCACTGCACTGCGGCCTGAGAGACAGAGCAAGCCCCTATCTAGAAAAAAAAAATGTCAGTGAAGATGTGGAGGAATTGGAACCCACATACATTACTGGTGGGAACATAAAATCGTGTAACCATTTTGTTTGGGTATTTCTTTTCTTGTCACTTTAATTGGATTTTTAAAAAATCAACACAGGGTTTCACTATCTTGCCCAGGCTGGTCTTGAATTCATGGGCTCAAGCCATCCTCCTAGCTGAGCCTCCTGAGTAGCTGGGATTACAGGTGTGAGCCATTGCACCCAACTGGTGTAGCCACGTTAGAAAACAGTCTGGCAGTTTCTCAAAAGGCTAAATGTACAGTCATCCTATAATGCAACAATTTCACTCCTAGGCATATATCCCAGAAAAATAAAAATATATGTCCACACAAAAACTTGTACAACAATCTTCACAGCAGCATTATTCATAATGACCAATACATGGAATACATGGAAACAACCCAAATACCCACCAACTGATGAACAGATAAACAAAATGCAGTGTGTCTCTACCATGGAATACTGCCATGGAAGGAATGAAATATTGATACACACTATGACATAAAGGAACTTTGAAAACACTGTGCTAAGAGGGAAAAAAAGCCACAAAAGATCACATATTGTACAATTCTATTTGTCCAGATTAGGCAAATCTATAGTGACAAAAAAATTAATCAATGGTTGCCTAAGGCTGGGGGCGAAGGTAGGTGGGGAGAGTAGGAGGTAGTGGCTAAGGGGTATGGATTTCTCTATAGGGTAATGAAAGGTTCTAAAAGTGACTGTGGTGATCTATGCACAGCTCTGTGAATATTCTAAAACCTACTGAATTGCAGATTTCAATAAATAAAGTGAATGGTATGTGAATATTTTAATAAAGCTATTATTTAAAATAATAATAATAGGGGGCTGGGCACAGGTGGTCATGCCTGCCTGTAATCCCAGCACTTTGGGAGGCTGAGGCAGGAGGACCACTTGAGGTCAGGAGTTTTGAGCCCAGTCGGAGCAACGTGGCAAGATCCCGTCTCTATGATAAAAAATTAGCTGGACATGGTGGCACATGTCTTTAGTCCCAGCTACTTGGGAGACTGAAGTGAGAGAACCACTTGAGCCCAGGAGTTTGAGGCTACAGTGAACCATGATCATGTCACTGTACTGTAGCCTGAGCAACAGAGCAAGACGCTGTCTCTGAAAAGGAAAGAAAACAAATGCAAGTTTTTATCACTTTGTGAGTGTAGCCAAGTTGGAGGAGAAATAGACAATAATAAAAGAGCACTGAATAATGACGGTGAGTGGCTGGTTAGGCTCAGTTGCTAGCTAAATGGCTTCTAAAAAATTCAATAAAGTTACAGCTCTGGGGACAGTCATGTAGTCAAAGAATGAATGCTAAATTCATTACAAATGCCCATGGTCTTACTTACATGCCTTCTAGTGAAAAATTCCTAAGTGCCTAAATAGCAAGTCTGCAATGATAGCAGCTGTTTATTAAAGACTACAAAAAAGAAATGGAGGCCGGGCGTGGTTGCTCACATCTGTACTCCTTGAATTTTGGGAGGCTGAGGCAGGCAGATTGCCTGAGGTCAGGAGCTCCAGAGGAGCCTGGCCAACATGGTGAAACCCCATCTCTACTAAAAATACAAAAATTAGCTGGGTATGGTGGCGGGCGCCTGTAATCTCAGCTACTCGGGAGGCTGAGGCAGGAGAATTGCTTGAACCCAGAAGGTGAAGGTTGCAGTGAGCCAAAATCACACCATTGCACTCCAGCCTGGGTGACAAGAGAAAGACTCTTATCTTAAAAAAAAAGAAAAAAAAGAAATGGCATCTTCTTCAAGAATTACATCGTGTTTCATGATAAAGAAGCTCTAATTTTGCATTTGTTCAAGTATTGATGAGATTTAGCCAATATGGCACCCATCTTGGATAAAATGCAAACAACACAATTTCATTTTCTCATTAACAAAACCGATTAAGTAGTCTAATATCAATTCTGATCTTATTAAAAACTGATCAGATTAAAAAAATTATGGAGTTGTGGAGCCAATAAGATGTTACAACCTGTTCCAAGGGGAATTCCAAAATCCACACATATCTGAGACCATCAAGTATGATGAAATATATTTGATTACTATATTGAAAAATAAACTGATTACATAGCCAACAATTGGACAGGGGTCTCCTCATCCACAGCCACACAAACCCGATCATGCAGCTATGTGGTTACAAGGCCTACATAGCCTAGAAGGGACTGGTCTGACTTGAGATTTCATTTGTATTTGTATTTTGAGACAGGGTCCCACTCTGTCACCCAGGATGGAGTGCAGTGGTATAATCATAGCTCACTGCAACCTTGACCAACTGGGCTCAAGAGATGCTCCCGCCTCAGCTGTCCCCATACCTGGGAATACAGGCAAGTACCACCATGTCAGGCACTTTTTTTCATTTTTGTAGAGAGAGAAGTCTTGCTATGTTGCCCAAGCTGGCCTCAAACTCCTAGAATCAAGAGATCTGCCCATCTCAGCCACATGAGTAACTGGGGCCATAGGTACATACCATCATGCCTGGCTATATTTATTTTATTTTATTAAATTTATTTTTTTTATTTTTGTAGAGAGGAGGTCTCGCTGTGTTGCCCAGGCTGCTCTCAAACTCATGGCCTTAAAACATACTCCCATCTCTGCCTCTCAAACTGTTGGAACTATAGGTGTGAGCCACTGCACCTGGCCTGACCTGAGATTTCTTTTATCTAGCATCCTTTACTTGGTAGGATTGGGAAAGGCAGTAGTGTTTTTTAAAATTACTTAATAATTCAATCAGAATCAAACTCAACCTTGACCACTGCCTTCTCTCACAGCTCACATCCAGTCTGTCAGGAAATCCTACTGACTGACTTCAACATGTATCCAGGCTCTGACCATCTCTCACCACCACCGTGAACCCGGTCAGGATCACTATCATCTCCCACCGGGATGTTGCCACAGCTTGGCCCCCATGCTTCTACCCAAATCTTCCCATAGTCTTTCTCAACTTGGCAGCCAGGTCGTGCTTTTAAATCAGGAGACAGATCACGTCGCCTCTCTGCTCAGAAGCCCTCGGTGGTTCCCATTTTAGTCAGAGTAAAAGCCAAAGCCCCAGCAATAGCATCCCAGGGCTTACACGATCTGTACCGATCCCAGCCCAGCAACTCCCTGGCCTCCTCGCTGACTTCGCTCCCTCTATCTCTTTGCTCCACTGGCCTCCTTCCAGAGCCTCAGACACACCAGAGAGTTTCCTCCTAATGCCTTTATCCTGTTGACTCAGCCTACAATGCTCTTCCCTCAGCACCTTGGCCAGCTCCATCATCTGCTTCAAACTTTTGCTCAATATTCACTTATGAGGCCAACCCTGACCACTCTACTTAACACTGCCATCTGTCCCCATTCCCACCATGCTCATTTCTTTCTTTCTTTTTGAAACAAGGTCTTGCTTTATCGCCCAGGCTGGAGTACACTGGTGCAATCACAGCTCACAGCAACTTCAACCTCCCAGGCTTAAACAATCCTCCCGCCTCAGCCACCCTAGGAACTGAGACTACAGCTGCATGCCACAACACATGGCTTTTTTTTTTTTTTTTTTTTTGAGACGGAGTCTCGGTCGCCCAGGCTGAAGTGTAAGGGTGCGATCTTGGCTCACTGCAATGTCTGCCTTTTGGGTTCAAGTGATTCTCTGCCTCCCGAGTAGCTGGGATTACAGGCACCCACCACCACACCTGGCTAATGTTTGTATTTTTAGTAGAGATGGGGTTTCACCATCTTGGCTAGGCTGGTCTTGAACTTCTGACCTCATGATCCACCCTCCTCGGCCTCCCAAAGTGCTGGGATTACAGGCGTGAGCCACTGCGTCTGGCCTTTTAAAAAAATTTTTTTTAGACATGAGGTCTCATTATGTTGCCCAGGCTGGTCTTAAGCTCCTGGGCTTAAGCGATCCTCCCACCTCAGCCTCCTAAAGTTCTGGGATTACAGGCGTGAGCAACTGTAACATGAGGTCCCAGCTTCATGTTCATTTTGTGTTGTTGCTACAACAAAGTACCCTACATTTAGTGGCATCAAACACCACAAATCTACCATCTTACAGTTCTGGGGGCCAGAAGCCCAACTAGGTCTATTAAGGCTAAAGTCAAGGTGTCAGAGGGGCTGCATTCCTTCTGGGGGAGGCTCTAGACAGAATGTGCTCCTTTGCCTTTTCCAGCTTCTAGAAGCCACCCCCATTCCTTGACTTACCTCGTGACTCCATATTCAAGGCCAGAAGTGCAGCATCTTCAAATCTCCCTCTCTGACCTCTTCTTCCATTACCACATCACTTTCTCTAATTCTGACTCTCCTACCTCCTTCTCTTATAAAGATCCTTGTGATTGGTGGGTATGGGGGCTCCCATCTGTAATCCCAACATTTTGGGAGGCCAAAGAGGAAGAATTGCTTGAGGCCAAGAGTTAGAGATCAGCCTGGGGAAAATAGGAAGACCCTGCCTTTACAAAATTAAAATTAAAATCAGCTGGACATGGTGATGCATGCCTGTAGTTCCAGCTACTGGAGAGGCTAAGGTGGGAGGATTGCTTTAGCCTAGGAGGTCAAGGCTGCAGTGAGCTATGATCACATCACTGCACTCCAGCCTCAGTGGCAGAGTGAGACTCTGTCTCCAATATAAGAAAAGAAATATACATTTGGTCTCTGCCCCTGGTTCCTGGCATACAGCTTCCAAAGCTCTTATAAAGCCGTTCGTGACAGAGGTAATAGGAGCATTTTCTGTTTTGATATTTAGTCTTAGTCCCAGGTTCCTGAGACAAGGGCCTCTAAGGTCTTTCAGATCTGCAGCATGGTAAGAATGCATGTGGGATGCTGTTGAGCTAACAGGGTGGCTGCAAGCTCCTAGACTGCTTCAGGAGGAGGGCTAGCTGCCAGAGAAAGCAACCACATTTTTTTTTTTTTAAACGGAGTTTGGCTCTTGTAGCCCAGGCTGCAGTGCAATGGCACAATCTCAGCTCACTACAACCTCCACCTCCCGGGTTCAAGCAATTCTCCTGCCTCAGCCTCCCGAGTAGCTGGAATTATAGGGATGTGCCACAATGCCTAGCTAATTGTTGTTATTTTTAGTAGAAACGGGGTTTCACCATGTTGGTCAGGCTGGTCTCAAACTCCTGACCTCAAGTGGTCCATGTGCCTCAGCCTTCCAAACTGCAAGGATTACAGGAGTGAGCCACCGCACCTGGCCCCAACCACATTTTTTGAGGCTTGGAACTTTCAGCCTCACCTGCTGAACTCCAGGAGGCAAAAGGAACTGGAGATTGACTTAACTACCAATGGCCAATGATTTTATCAATCATGCCTCCATAAAAACCCAAACAGCAGGGTTTGGAGGGCTTCTGTGTTGCTAAACACAAGGAGGTCCTGGGAGGGTAGTGTGCCCAACAGAGGGCATGGAAGCTCTGTGCCCCTCCCCACTTACCCTGTCCTGTGCATCTCTTTCATTGGCTGTTCCTGAGATGGAGCCATTACATTGAGCCAGTAATAGAAAAATAAGGTAGCCAGATGCGCTGGCTCATGCCCGTAATCCCAGCACTTTGGGAGGCAGAGGTGGGCGGAATCACTTGAGCCTAGGAATTTGAGACCAGCCTGGGCAACATAAGAAGACCCCATCTATACAAAAAATAAAAGAAATTAGCCAAATGTGGTTGTGGGAACCCTGTAATTCCAGCTACTTGAGAGGCTGCAGCAGGAGAATCACTTGAGCCCTGGAGGTTGAGGCTTCAATGAGCTATGATTGCACCACTGCACACCAGCCTGGACAACAGAGCGAGGCCCTGTCTCTTAAAAAGAAAAGAAAAAAACCTGTTTTTCTAAGTTCTGTGAGTTGTTCTAGTAAATAATTAAACTCAAGAAGAGGGTCATGGGAAACCCTGATTTCTAACTGGTTGGTCAAAATACAGGTGACAACCTAGGACTTGCAACTGGCATCTGAAGTGAGGGTGGTCTTGTGGGACTGAGCCCCTAACCTGTGGGTTCTGCGCTAACTCTAGGTAGTGTCAGAATGGAATTGTGGGATACGCGGTTGGTATCCAGAGAGTTGGAGAACTGGTGTAGAAACTCTGCACACACATTTGGGCAGAAGTCTGTGAGTAGAGAGAAACGTGTTGCGGGAAGTCAGGGACCCCAAACGGAGGGACCGGCTGAAGCCATGGCAGAAGAACATAAATTGTGAAGATTTCATGGACATTTATTAGTTCCCCAAATTAATACTTCTATAATTTCTTAGGCCTGTCTTTACTGCAATCGCTGAACATAAATTGTGAAGATTTCATGGACACTTATCACTTCCCCAATCAATACCCTTGTGACTTCCTATGCCTGTCTTTACTTTAATCTCTTAATCCAGTCATCTTCATAAGCTGAGGATGAATGTCCCCGCAGGACCCTGTGATAATTGCGTTAACTGCACAAGTTGTTTAAACAATATGAAACCTGGGCACCTTGAAAAAAGAACAGGATAACAGCAATTTCAGGGAACAAGGGAGATAACCTTAAACTCTGGCTGCCTGTGGGCCGGGTGGAACAGAGCCATATTTCTCTTCTTTCAAAAGCAAATAGGAGAAATATTGCTGAATTCTTTTTCTCAGCAAAGAACATCCCTGAGAAAGAGAATGCATCCCTAAGGGGAGGCCTCTGAAATGGCCGCTTTGGGGACGGCTGTCTTTTACAGTCGTCGATAAGGGATGAAATAAGCCCTGGGCTCGCGTGGCGCTCCCAGGCTTATCAGGACAAGGAAATTCCCGCCTAATAAATTTTGGTCAGATGGGTTGTCTGCTCTCAAACCCTTTCTCCTGATAAGATGTTATCAATGACAATGCGTGCCCGAAACTTCATTAGCAATTTTAATTTCGCCCCAGTCCTGTGGTCCTGTGATCTTGCCCTGCCTCCATCTGCCTTGTGATATGTTATTACCTTGTGAAGCATGTGATCTCTGTGACCCACACCCTATTCGTACACTCCCTCCCCTTTTGAAAATCACTAATAAAAACTTGTTGGTTTTGCAGCTTGGGGGGCATCACGGAACCTGCCGGCATGTGATGTCTCCCCTGGACACCCAGCTTTAAAATTTCTCTCTTTTGTACTCTTTCCCTTTATTTCTCAGACCGGCCGACACTCAGGGAAAATAGAAAAGAACCTACATGAAATATCAGGGGTGAATTTCGCCCGATATCACACGGGATCTTCTCTCACCTGTCTACCTGCTTAACTGCACAGGAGAGGCAATGCATGGTGCTCATGAACAAGGCAAGCATTAAAGTCAGACCAGACTAACATTTGACTCAGTCTTAATATTCAGGTGAGCTTGGGCAAATAGCTCATTAACCCCAAGTCTTCATCATTTTGTGCATATAATGGGGATAACTGTGGCACCCACCTGTTTTTGTGAGAATCAATGAAATATTATGCTTGATGTTATTGTGATCACGATACTATCTGACAAGGGCAGTGATGCATGATAACATCAAAAAATTAGAAACTGTAATGAGGTCTCTTGCGCAAAATTCCATACAAGCAAATTACTGTCTCTACAAAGCATTTCTGCCACACTTAATTCACCATTCCCTGAACAAAATGTGCCATCTTCATTGTTCAGGTCTGTATAGTGCTGGTTTCCCTGCCTGGGCAGCTCACTGCATCCCATCCCAGCCCAATCCCCATCCCTCCACCTCCCCCTTCCCTCCCCACTCTCATACAACTCTTCCTTATCTTACAGGACTTGGCTTCAATGTCACCTTAACTGGAAGCTTCTCTCCCTCTCCAGAAGAGCTTCCCATTGCACTTGATGCATGCACTATTATTTGATCATTTTTGAGTTACAGTCGAAGTCTTTTTGTACCTGAATAACATGTTGCCCAGTCAGTTTCTCTTCCTGGATTCAGAAGTCTTTCATGGTAGGTCCAGCTAGAAGTGAAAAAAAGACATTAAAAAAAAAAAAAAAAAAAAAAAAAAAAGAGGGATGACACAGACATCAGCACTTAAAAGTTTTAAATGACATGTGAAAAACAAAATTTAAGGGCTTCTAGGAGAAATGTAGGAGGGAAGGTGTTACTGGGAAATATGATAGAAGGTTAATTTTTATTTTATTTTATTTTTAGAGAAAGAGTCTTGCTCTATCGCCTAGGCTGGACTGCAGTGGTGCAATCACAGTTAACTGCAGCCTCAACCTCCAGGGCTTGAGCAATATTCCCATCTAATTTTTATTTTGTTTAAGAAATGCGGTCTTGCTCTTAGCAAAGCTAAAGTGCAATGGTGTGATCATAGCTTACTGCAGCCTCAACCCTCTAGACTCAAGTGATCCTCCAGTCTTAGCCTCCCCAGTAGCTGGGACTACAGGTGTGCACTGCAACATGTAGCTCTTTTTTTTTTTTTAATTTTTAGTAGAGACAAAGTGTCACTATGTTGACCAGGTTGGTGGTGATCTCCTACACTCAGGCAGTTCTCTCACCTCAGCCTTCCAAAATGCTGGGATTACAGGTGTGAGCTGCCACACCTGGCTGAGGGGGTTAATTTTTAATTATATAAAGAGTTCAAAGCAAATATCAGAAGGAGCCTAAATGCCTCCAGCAGTTGACTGGTACTGGTAAATTGTGATACATCCATATAGTAAAATATTATGCAACCATGAAAAGGATTAAGATAGATCAATAGGTATTGGCACAAATGTCCACGAAATATGAAAATATGAAGTGATGTTCAATCACCATGTATGTATCTTGAAGGATATGGACCATTTTCTCAATTGCAATTATTTCCTGAGATAAGATTATGGGTCTAAAGAGTGAAGGACATTTTTCACTTATTTAAAAGTATTTATTATTTTTATAATTTAATAAAAGATTAAACAGATCATTGAATTAGTAAAAGACAAAGTAACTCAATAAATAAATGGAAAAGACACAGATACCCCAGGCATGGTGGCTCATGCTTATAATACCAGTACTTTGGGAGGGGGTGGTGGGGGGATTGCTTGAGGCCAGGAGTTCCAGACCAGCCTAAGAAACAAAGCAAGACCTCGTCTCTAGTAAAAATAAAAAAATAAAAATAATTGGCCAGGCATAGTGGCATGTGCCTACAGTCCCAACTACTGAGGTGGAAGGATCACCTGAGCCTAGGAGGTCAAGGCTGCAGTGAGTTGAGACTGTGCCACTACACTGAAGCCTAGGAGACAGAGCGAGACTTCATCTCAAAAAAAAAAAAAAAGGACAATAAAGAAATAAAGCTAATAAGCTAACATAAGGAAAGATAAAATATGTGACAAATAGGCTGGGCACATGGCTCACAGCTGTAATCAAGCACTCTGGGAGGCCGAGGCGGGTAGATCACGAGGTCAGGAGTTCGAGACCAGCCTGATCAACATGGTGAAACCACGTTTCTACTAAAAATACAAAAATTAGCCGGGCATGGTGGCATGTGCCTGTAATCCCAGCTACTCAGAAGGCTGAGGCAGGAGAATCGCTTGAACCTGGGAGGCACAGGTTGCAGTGAGCCAAGATCACACCACTGCACTCCAGCCTGGTCGACAGAGCGAGACTGCGCCTCAAAAAGAAAAAAGAATGGGTGACAAAGTAATAATATGAGGTCTTTCATTTATCACACAGAAAATAACTTGTTAAATTATAATACCTGTGTGGGCGAAGGTGCAGTGAAATGGCCATTTTCTTGTAGTATTAGTGGTGTTTAAAATGTATATAAGCCTTCCAGCATAAAGCTTGGAAATTTTTTTTAAATCATACAGACAGTGACTCATTATACTGCCTCCTCCAACTCCTGGCCTCAAGCAATCCTCCCACCTCAGCCTCCCAAAGTGCTGGAATTACAGGCTGACAGCCACCATGCCTGAAAGCTTTGCAATTTACATCAAGGGTAATAAGAATGCTCATGCCCTGTGACTCACAGTAATCTCACTTCTGGAAATTTCATCTTTGGATATAATTCAACCTAAACAAAAGGTCATATGCACAAACACAGTGAAAATCTGGGAGTAATTTTTTTCTCTTTTTTTAAAAAAATATGGAATGCTTCACAAATTTGCATGTCATTCTTTCACAGAGGCCATGCCAATCTCTCTATTGTTCCAACTTAAGTATGTGTGCTACTGAGGCAAGCATGAGTAATTTAAGATAGAGTGGTTAAGTGAAATAAGGAAGAATTATGGAGAATTTAAAAATCTATGCTATTTATAGGCACCTAGTAACAGCTCAGTAAATATTAGCTGCTACTATTATTATTTTTATGGTAATTTCACTCAATTAAAAACTGTCATTAAAAATTACCATTGTCATGGAACATAATGTCTCCTACTGTATAATTGTAGAAACAGATACAATTTGTCCCTTGGTATATGGGGGGATTAGTTCCAGCTCTCCCATTTCTGTGTATACCAAAATCCACGCATACTCAAGTTTTCGAAGTCAGTCCTGTGGAATCCACATATAACACAAATGGGAAAATTAGTGAGGTGTGGTGACAAGCACCTGTAGTCCCAGCTACTTGTGAGGCTGAGGCAGGAGGATTGCTTGAGCCCAGGAGGTTGAGGCTGCAGTGAGCCATAATTGCACCACTGCACTCCAGTCTGGGCAACAGAGTGAGACAGAAGGTTGACTTTTTAATAGAATTTTTCTGTTCACTTGAAGATATGGTCAGGATTGTGGCATATGAAAATTCTTCATAAAATAACTATCTAATCCAATTAATGCTGGAATTGGGAACAGCAGAAGTGTCATCTCAGAGCTACTCACAATGAAAGGTGATGTCTGGGGCTCAGGTGTGTTGAGGTCCCCATGCCTGGACTATGGGTGCTGAGTGGGATTTACTTGTCCATCCATTTTCTATATTCCAGCACTGGGAAACTAGGGTTTATCCATCTTGATAAGATGTCATTTAAATTCCACTTCGCAAGAACCACAAATGGAAGAAGGGCCATGAAACCGCAGGACAGTACTTGTTCTCAAGGGAATCTTCAGCTTAGGTGGCTCTGTAAAAGAGAAATTACATTGTTGAAAAATCGTCGCAGGTCAGGTGAGGTGGCTCATACCTATAATCCCAGCCCACTGGGAGACTAAGACAGAAGGATTCCGTGAGGCCAGGAGTTCAAGACCAGCCTGAGCAACACAGTGAAACCTCATCTCTACAAAAAATTAGAAAATGAACTGGGTGCGGTAAAACATTCGTATAGTCCCAGCTACTCTGGAGGATGAAATAGGAGGATCGCTTGAGCCCAGGAAGTGGAAGCTGCAGTGAGCTCTGATCTCACCACTGCACTCCAGCCTGGGTGACAGAGTGAGACCCTGTCTCAAGACACACACAAACACACACACACACACACACACACACACACCCCCAATCTCAGTCTGTCCAGCCTTGACTAATCAAAAGGGCCTTCTGGTTACAGAAGAGGTATGCTCTTTTGTAGGACAGGGAGAGACCAGCAAGCTTGTTCACAGACTTTTCCTCATCCTCTGCTTAGTTTTCCAAGAACCCTCACAGTGGAAATGGAGTCTCTGGGAAAATGACCTAAATCTTTGGGTTACCAGGGGAGAAATATGCCTCCTTTGTCAATTAATAAATGGAACATCTGCCTTAAAATCCAGGGAGTTCTGCTAGAATGAATCACTCCCTAAGACCCTGACCTATGCATGGAACATGAAAAACTGAAGTTTAACTGGGCACGGTGGATCACGCCTGTAATCCCAGCACTTTGGGAGGCTGAGGCGGGCAGATCACCTGAGGTCAAAAGTTCTAGATCAGCCTGGCCAACATGGTGAAATCCCGTCTCTACTAAAAATACAAAAATTAGTTGGGCATGGTGGTGGACACCTGTAATCCCAGCTACTCGGGAGGCTGAGGCAGGAAAATCTCTTGAACCCGGAAGGCGGAGGTTGCAGTTACTTCTAGAAGAATTTCCATTAGCCCTTTGAAATCCTTCAACATTCATGAAGGCCAAAGAGTTTTCACCTAATTTAATCTGATGGGTATGTGACCAGAGTCTTTCTAGGGAATAGAGACTCCCAAACAGTTCAGCTGGGAAGTGAGGAGAGAATTTATTACTCAAAATCAAAGGGAAATGAAAAGAGGCCAACATAGAATGTCATTATTCTTTCTTGGTGGGGAATGGATTCCAGAGTCATTCTGTGACCTTTACATGACCTCCTTATTAGCAGCTAAAAGCTTCCAGTGTAGGATGCAGCCAGCTAGGTTCTCTTCTAATGTAATAAAATTTGCTTCAGCAAATCTTATGCAGAGCCATCTCCAGGCTCCAGAAACAATAGGCTATAAATTACTGGATCTCCCATTTGATACAATGAAGTATAAGCACGGTCCTGAATGACTCCTCTACATACTACTCTGGGTGGCTTGAAGTGAATTTGATACAAGAACTGGAGCGAGCGCAAAGCAGAGCTAGATCTAGGATTAATGTGCTTGGGCCCAGCTCCTCACTACTCACCTATGAGTCTAGTTCCAGAACCCAAGTAGAGGGTGGGGAAACAAGGCTCCTGACTTTTTTTCCCTAATGTCTGCATCTCTTTCACATTTCTTATCTCCTTGCAAAGAAACTAAACAGGCTCAACTGAAATAACTAAATGATTAAACCCTATACAGAGAATCTCCAAAGACTGACAAAATATCATTCAAGACTGTTACACAGACAACCTTGAGGATGACTTGATGTACCAGTGATCTACAATATTTGGGATCATTCCAAATTCCCATCAAGGATCTGCCTATATCAACAAAGGAGCCAAGGACCAACCATTCAAATGGGCCCTGCTGCCAAGCCTTTTTTTTTTTTTTTACAATGCCATCTCTTCATATTGTTCCATTTAACAAAACTGCAGCCCTTCATCTACCCTTAAGTCCCTTGGCCAATGGTACAGAGCCAGAGTATGCTACTCCCTAGCAGGAAATCAACAGGATGACCTACTAAACACCATTCAGAAGATGCTAAGACCCATGAATTGCAACAGGAAAGAAAAGACAGAGAATTAGTCAGACAGGTACATGCTGTGCCAAAAATGCACTACAGCCCCCACCCAATTCTGCCTAATCCTAGCTGGGCTGACACCAACCTGATGAGACAGGCCTATGAGATCTCAAACTAAAACAGAAACTCCTGAACTGGGTTCTTTCAAACCCAGGAAGCAGCAGTAAATCATTAAAGAACAGATAAGTTCTTAAGATGAGGGAGAGTTTCAGATAAATGGAATGCTGGTAGAACACAGGGCCAAAGGAGCAAAAGTTAACCTAAGCCCAGGTAGAACCTTGTTTACTAGAGTACTGGGCATGGGTTGGGGCAACTATTCTAACCAGAGAAACTGGCTTCAGTGAGGGCAAGTTGGCAATCCAAGGTATAGCATGCATAGGGCTGGCAAAATTCAGGGTGACTGAAGCAAAAGCTTCAGAACCAGAAAGACCACATCTGGGGGTAGAGCACAAAACTCTCAAGAGATGAATCTTTGTAAGAGTGAGGCAGAACTATATAGCAGTTTTAGGAGATCTGTTGGTGCCCAGCAAGAGCTCCAAACAGGCTATATGCAGGGATGCAGGCTGTAGTCTCAGGAGAGGAGGTTCACAAAAGTCATTCAGTCCAAGACCTCAAACTGTGTTCTCTACTAAAAGGAATCAAGGTTCCCTAGAGAAATGGCTGACTCCATGTATGGTGCAGTATATTGATCCTGGAACATCTTTTTTGCCAGAAAGCAAGGAAGCCATCAAAGTCCAACAGGATCACATCAAAAAGACATGAAAGTCAACTTGAAGAGATAATTATTAACCTAGATGAGACAATGTAAGCATCCAAAACAATATAGACTGCAATGGCCTGAAATACATCAAATGCAAACAATAATCTGAGTTCATAATGGTATTCAGAAAAAAAACTACTGGTCAGTAGAGGGAAGGTTACTAGGTCACTAACTTACTACTCTAAAAAGTGACTTAAGATGAGAGGTAGGGTGGAGAATTAGCTATTTATTCAGTCTTTCCTGTACAAACATAAATTTTTAGGGAGATTGAAGCAGACGAAACAAATCTGGAAAAATGGAGGTAACTGCTTAATCTGCGGGTTGGGTGCATGGAGGTTCAACATATTTCTTTTGTGTATATTTGAACCCCCTACAAAAAAAGCACAAGACAGAATGTGAGCCAAGCAGCTTAGGGTTTAGGCAAGGCTTCTGCCTACAAGAGACACTAGGATATGAGGGGTAGTTTTAGCCCTGATGGGCTGAGCCAACTGGAGGTATATAGGGAGGTGCTAAATTGCTGAGGTATCATGTTGCCCAGCACTTGATCAAATCCTAGATCCTAGGTCTGCTTGGTAGCATGCTTCCTAGGTAGTGCATCTGAGGCTACCTAAAGAACTTCCTTTGCAGTCATAATTCGCTCAGAAACTACAAAAGTGCTTGCTCTTGAAAATGGAGTCTTTGTCCATTTCATGCTTCTATAAAAGAATACCACAGACTGCATAATTTATAAAAAGGAAAAAAGGAAGGAAAGAAAAAAGGAAGGAAGGAGGGAAGGAGGGAAAAAGGGAAGGAGGGAAGGAAAGGAAGGAAGGGAAAGAAGGAAAGGAAGGAAGGGAAAGAGAGAAAGAGGGAAGGAGGAAGGGAGGGAAGGAGGGAGGGAGGGAGAGAGAGAGGGAGGGAGGGGAAGGGAAGAAAAGGGAGAAGGGAAAGGAGGAAGAAAAGGAAAGGAAAGGAATAAATTTTATTTCTTAACAGTTCTGGATGTTAGGAAGTCCAAGGTTGAGGGGCCTGCATCTGGTAAGGGTCTTCTTGCTGCATCATCCCACTACAGAAGGCAGAAGGAAAAGAGAGTGCAAGAAAGCAAGAGGGCAAAGGGGGCTGAACTCTGTTTTATAATAAACCCACTCTGTGATTACTAATCTATTAGCACAATAACAACATTAACTCATTCATGAAGGCTATTTTATTAGGCCCCACATCCCAACTGTTGCATTGAGGATTGAGTTTCCAGCACATAAACTTTGGGGGACACATTTAAACCATAGCAGAGCACTTAGGTTAATTCAACTAAGAGGAGCTGGGAAAATGAAAGGCATGAGAAAGACAGCAAAAGCTAGCAGAGAGAAATGCATAGGTTAAGGAAAAAAGTCACAGTGAATCCTGTAGTGCAGGCTACTTTATCAAAAGCACCTAAAAAAGATCTCATTAACTCCCCCAGCTCACCTCCACCCACATCTAAAGAGCCACACACAGCACCACCAAAGGCAGCACAATGAGAACAGCATTCTCCTCAACAGACAAGCTGGGAGTATCTAGACACCTGACCTCAATAGCTCCAGAACAGCCCTAAAACAGTTCCTCCCTAACCACCACTCAAGTCACCAGCTTGGAAAGTATTAAGAAAACCCAAATCCTGACACACCACTATGAAACAACTTAAAACAGCAAAGAACAACCCATTTAAACAGCAATGCCAGCTGCTGGGAAAAAAAGGAACAATGAGTAGAGGAGAAACAGACCTCTTGGGGTCCACCAAGACCCAGTCTCTCAGCTTCAGCACTTTCAAATGCAGAATCCATACCCCTCTGGGGCCTGTGGAGCTCCACAAGGCATGTCGTCCTCAAAGATAAATGAGCAGGCAAGCTGGCTAGAAAACCACTAAGGGTATTAGTCTTTAAAGAATCTTTACAGGGTCAAAGAGGAATGGGTCTTAACTGGCTATGTGAACTCCCCACAGATTCTGAGGATGATGTCAGTATCCCTTTCCAGATGTGTTTAACACTTTGCAGTCACTTGTATTCCTGCCACTGAGTGCCAGTGCTTTGCTAATTTGAACTGATTCCAGCTCACGCTGACCCCAGCTCCCTGGATGTTACCATTAGCCAAGACTGTCACCCATACTGTACCCTTTCAAAGAGTCCTAAAAACAGCTCTTCACCTACTCTTCCAAGACAAGTAAAAATGTCTGCCAAAGAAATGGGGAAAAAAGATTCAGAGAGTGAAAACAATTAATATACTAACAAGAGAGCAAAAAGCAAAGGGGGAGGAGAAACTAGGAAAATCATAGATGGCCTCTCACCTATTTCCAAAGCTGGGCTAATGTCCTTTTGCTTGTGTCTGAATAAGGCACCAATTTTAAGCTGCTAATGAAAAAAAAAGAAAAAGAGAAAGAAGCAGGCCCAGGCTGGGCGCAGTGGCTCATGTCTGTAATCCCAGCACTTTGGGAGGCCGAGGCGGGTGGATCACCCAAGGTCAGGAGTTCTAGACCAGCCTGGTCAACATGGTGAAACACCATCTCTACTAAAAATACAAAAAATTAGCCAGGCATGGTGGCACATGCCTGTAAATCCAGCTACTCAGGAGGCTGAGGCAGGAGAATTGCTTGAACCTGGAAGGCAGAGAATGTGGTGACCTGAGATCACGCCATTGCCCTCAAGCCACGGCAATGAGAACAAAATTTGGTAAAAACAAAACAAAACAAAACCACACCACCATAAAATAACTCAGACTTAATTAAATACAACCCTAGTGGTGAATGACTAAAGATGGATTACTCATAACAGAGATAACAGTCCAATAAGAATCCAGGAATCTTACCTTTTAATAACAAAAAAATCCTTTCCTTCGAAAGTAACATCCTCTCAAGGCCAGGAATTCCATTAGTAGAAAGCCTTCCTGAAAAACAAAATTCCTGGCCAGGCATGGGTTCACGTCTGTAATCTCAGCACTCTGGGAGGCCGAGGCGGAAAGATCACTTGATGTCAGGAGTCGAGGCGGGAAGATCACTTGACGTCAGGAGTTCGAGACTGGCCCGGCCAACATGGTGAAACCCCATCTCCACTAAAAATACAAAAATTAGCCTCGTGTGGTGGTGGGCACCTGTAATCCCAGTGACTTGGGAGGCTAAGGCAGGAGAATTTCTTGAACCCAGGAGGCAGAGGTTGCAGTGACCAGCAAGGTTGCGCCATTGCCCCCCAGCCTGGGCGATAAGAGTGAAAACTCCATCTCAAAAAAAAAAAAAAAATTCCTTTGGGAAGGCCTTCTACATAAAAATCTTCAACATGAGACTGGAAAAAAGGGTATGGGATCATCACCGGACCTTTGGCTTTTACAGCTCGAGCTATAAGAACAAAAAGAAAAAGGGATATCATTTAAACACAGTATGTAGAAAAGAATAATTATTGAATCTGTACTGGTGTTTAACTTTTACACTTTGATCTTTAATTCTGTTATTGTGATTGAGTCCAAAGAAAAATAGTATGAGTAAAATAAAAAGAACACCAAACATGCTAATATTCTGTTTACCAAAGTCTGTAGTGAAATATCCCATTAAATCCAAGTGCAGTGACACACCCATAATCCCAGCACTTTGGGAGGCTGAGGCGGGTGAATCTCCTGAAGTCAGGACTTCAAGGCCAGCCTGGCCAACATGGTGAAACGCCAACTCTACTATAAATACAAAAATTAGGCAGGCGTGGTGGCAGAGGCCTGTAATCCCAGCTACTTAGGAGGCTGAGGCAGGGAGAATTGCTTGAACCCAGGAGGTGAGCTTGCCATCAGCTAAGATCATACCACTGCACTCCAGCGTGGGTGACAGAACAAAACTTCAACCTCCAAAAAAAAAAAAAAAAAAACAGCTAGCAGGTGACATTTGCTATGGGGAGACTAGGGATATGATCTTGCTGCAATCCTTCCATTTTAGTAAATCTAAACAGCGTGAATCCATTCTGTTTCGTCCCCACTCCACTCCAGAGCCAAAACAAGAAAATCAATTACATTTCTAGTTCTTTAAAAACATATCTAACTAAATCATCTAATTAAAAGATAATATGCATGGTTCCATACTCTAAAAGAAAACTTATGTCCTGCATATCATGGACATTTGATGAATGCTTATTCACTTGACTGGTGTAGACTTCAATAATAACCTGTTCAATGCATTATGCCAGATGAATCTCGCATCTCAAAAGTAGAACAAATATTGTTCTTTCAGTTTTGTCTACCCATAAATGCAATATTTACTAATAAAAAGAAAATGAGTTTATTGTTCTAGAGAGTATGAGAATTTTGACAACATGAATTCTCCTGTCCTAGGACATAATTAATACTTAGAGGCATACTATTTCATGTGGAAGCTACCATTAAATCAATGTTAAGTGTTAATTACCTCACATAATCTTCTAATCTGACTTAAGACTGAAGACATACCTCACAAAGCTGATTTATCAAGTTGTAAATCTTCACCTGTTGAATTCATAAGTTCATGTCTGAAAGGTGAGAATAAATACTTAATATTCACTAGGCAATATTCAGCAAAGTAATATCCACTAGTACATATTTAATATTTCATCATGAACTGCGGGTGTGAAGAGAAAAGACAGGCTGGGCACAGTGGCTCACACCTGTAATCCCAGCAGTTTGGGAGGCCGAGGCAGGCAGATCATGAGGTCAGGAGTTCGAGACCAGCCTGGCCAACATGGTAAAACCCCGTCTGTACTAAAAGTACAATAATTAGCTGGGCATGGTGGCAGGCACCTGTAATCCCAGCTACTCGGGAGGCTGAGGCAAGAGAACTGCCTGAACCCAGGAGGTGGAGGTTGCAGAAACCATGATCGCGCCACTGCATTCCAGCCTGGGCAAGAGAGCAAGATTCTGTCTCAATCAATCAATCAATAAAAATATAAGGAGGAAGCATTTACTGTGTATTTATATGTCTGGTATTATGTGAAGCACTTTACTATCTTATCAAATCTTCGGGACAGATCTTCAGTTCTCACGACCACAAAAGAGGATACTAAAGCTCAGACAGGAGAAGAGACGTGGCCAGCCTGTGTCCCCAGGGCCTATGGTCTTACCACTAGGTTACAGTGTTTCCAGATATCACATGTTGTGAGATTTTTGCTTTAAAATGAACCAAAAAAAACCAAAGGCGAAAAAGGCATAAGCTATTAAAAAGTGGGAGAAACACTAAGAGAACCTTAAGCATGTAACTAAAAATATTATGGAAATGTTATTGAATTCATTAGCAAATTTAATGCTAGGTTTTCATTGAGGAGTAGGTTATATTACTCATGATGAAGAAAAATGTTCATTTTAAGTATATTAACATAAATACCATCAATATTGTTTATCATGTTTAAATGTTCACTTAAAGCAATTCAGTTAAAATTCTGCATATCATACAATTTTATAGTTTGCTAGTAGGTTACAAGTAAATAGTCACCCAAATAAAAACATCATGTGTTTTCCACTGGTTGTTGCTCTTTTTAGGTGAGCATTTGATGTATACCAACAGAGAGAGGATAATAACAAATCACTAATTTCTTTCATCACTATATAAAGGTGGCTTCAGGATAGAATAGTGTAAGGACAATGATGAATTTGAAATCTAACATCAATTCAGTGATGCATCAAGATAAAAGTAGAGACAATAGGGGCACCTTGGTGAGTACTGAACATTTTATTTATTTATTTATTTTGAGATGGAGTTTTGCTCTTTTTGCCCAGGCTAGAGTGCAACGGTGCAACCTCGGCTCACCGCAACCTCTGCCTCCTGGGTTCAAGCGATTCTCCTGCCTTGGCCTCCCGAATAGCTGGGATTACAGACATGCGCCACCACACCCGTCTAATTTTGTATTTTTAGTAGAGATGGGGTTTCTCCATGTTGGTCAGGCTGGTCTCGAACTCCCGACCTAGATATCTGCCTGCCTTGGCCTCCCAAAGTGCTGGGATTACAGGTGTGAGCCACCACGCCCAGATGAATTCCAAATTTAACAAAGCAGACTAAGAGAAACAATTCATTTAAAAAAATAATATTTGGCCAGGCGTGGCGGCTCACACCTGTAATCCCAGCACTTTGGGAGGCTGAGGTGAGTGGATCAGGAGGTCAGCAGTTCAAGACCAGCCTAGCCAAGATCATGAAACCCCGTCTCTACTAAAAATACAAAAATCAGCCAGGCATGGTGGCTGGTGCCTGTATCCTAGCTGCTCAGGAGGCTGAGGCAGAGAACTGCTTGAACCCGGGAGGCGGAGGTTGCAGTGAGCCGAGATCGTGCCACTGCACTCCAGCCTGGGCGACAGAGTGAGGCTCCGTCTCAAAAAAAATAAATAAATAATTCAATGAAATCCCTAAGATCCAGGGCTTTGCAATAAATATGTAAATAAATTTCCAATCTCCATACTGAAAGTTTAAAAGAAATGCTAATAACTAAAGAAATACAACTTTTCCTCAGCTTTGCAGCAATCTAGAAACAAAGTGTGTAGACACTACAAAGCACCTTACAAGGAGAAACGTGTAAGGATGGCATGACTCGCCGGCAGCCCTGGGCTTGTCCACGGTACCCCCATGATGAACAGTAACTCCATTGTGTAAACGCCCATGAACATAAGATTACAGGACTTTTCCAGTTTAGACATACCATATTTTCTTTCAGACAATTCTTCAATTTGTTTACATAGATCAGCGATACGATTATTCCATTTCTCTGAAAATCAAGCAAAAGTTGCTTCTCAATAATACGTCCCTATGTCAGAGCAGCACTAACATATAATGACTTATTTCATATATTTTACATTCTAACGGTCCATATCATTTTACTGCTTTCAAGAAAAAATTTCCCCTTTTTGGTGGTTCTTAGAATTGGTTTAATGGGAGACTATTAGAGAAGCTGAAAAGCAGGAGGGCAGAAAAGTTCAATCAAATTAAACACAATAACAGGGAGGTCACAATGAGGCGGTCTCCCGGGGTCTTTTAGCAAACTTCCTAAAACATGTCTCAGCTGTGTGAAATAAGACTTTACAGCAGCCGGGTGCAGTGGTGCAGGCCTGTAATCCCAGCACTTTGGCAGCAGAGGCAGGCGGATCGCTTTGAGCTCAGGGCAACATAGCCAAAACCCCCCTCCCTAGCCCCACCCCCACCCCGTCCCTACCAAAAATACAAAACAGCAGGGCATGGTGGCGGGCGCCTGCAGTCCCAGCTACTCAGGAGGCTGAGGCAGGAGAATCATCTGAACCCAGGAGGCAGACATTGCAGCGAGCCAAGATCACGCCACTGCTAGCCTGGATGACAGAGCAAGACTCCACCTCAAAAAAACAAAAACAAAAACACAAGATTAAGAGGGACCCCCGACCTTACAGATACAAGTTTAAGAGGGACCCCTAAGCAAAAAATGCCAACCCTTTTTCTCCCAATCATTGTAACACCAGGAGGGTGTAACAGTTTTGCAGCCTAGCTGTAGCAGGCTGATGCCCCCAAGATGCCCATATCCTAATCCCGGGAACTGGTGAACATGACCTTATATGGCAAAAGAGGCTTTGCAGATATAATGAAGTTAAGGGTCTTTGGCTTTTGGGGTTGATGTACTCACTCGGATCCTTGTAAGAGCAGAGCAGGTGATGGGAGAGGGTGGGAGGTGTAGTGACAGAAGCAGGAAACTCCAGTCATTCGAGACGGGCAGCACAAGCTGAGGAGTGCAGGCCACCTCTACCGCCAGGAAACGGATTCTCCCGCAGAGCCTCGGAAGCCACCGACCCTGCTCCCACCTTGACTCAGTAGGACTTACTGTAGAATTCTGGCCTTCAGACCTGTAAGGGAATACATTTTGGTTGTTTTAAGTCACTAAGTGTGTGGTAATTTGTTGCAGCAGCCACAGGAAACTAGTATTGTAGTGAAGCCTCAAAACCCCCCTGAAGGGGCTGGGCTCAGTGGCTCATGCCTGTAATCCCAGCACTTTGGGAGGCCGAGGTGGGTGGATCACTTGAGGTCAGGAGCTCGAGACCAGCCCAGCCAACATGGTGAAATGCCATCTATACAAAAAATACAAAAACTAGCCGGGCATGGTGGCACATGCCTGTAATCTCAGCTACTCAGGAAGCTGAGACAGGAGAATTGTTTGAACCCAGTGGGGCGGAGGTTGCAGTGAACTGAGATTCCACCACTGCACTCCAGCCTGGGTGACAGAGCGACGCTCCATCTCGAAAACAAAACAAAACAAAAAAACCCCACCTGAAGGTTTCCAGTTCTGCCAGCAGTCTCCCACCCAAGCCCCAGAAGCAGACATTCCATTGCTGTGGGCCATGGACAGGCAGAAGGAAGCACCTCCTCATGGCAGAGGCCTACCCAGGAGAAACCCAAGGGAAGGCACTGCTGGGCTGGCCCCTCTCTGCCAAGGCCATATTCTTTTTTTTTTTTGAGGCCAGTTTCACTCTGTCTCCCAGACTGGAGTGCAGGGGCACAATCTCGGCTCACTTCGACCTCTGCCTCCCCAGTTCAAGTGATTCTCCTGCCTCAGTCTCCTGAGTAGCTGGGATTACAGGAGTGTAGCATGCCTAGCTAATTTTTGTATTTCTAGTAGAGATGGGGTTTTGCCATGTTGCCCAGGCTGGACTCGAACTCCTTGCCTCAAGTAGTCCATCTGTCTCAGCCCCGCAAAGTGCTGGGATTACAGGAGTGAGCCACTGCACCCAGCATTTGCCAAGACCTTTGATGGCAGGCTTTTTCCAGGTGATCAGTCCTTGTCTGGTCTGGCTCTGCCCCACTCTCCTTCTCACCTAGTTGGAATCCCTAGCTACTTTTCAGTAGAGGAGAGTGTGTACCCCAATCCCAGCTTGGTTCAGATCTGCATTTAACTCATGGAACCTGGCTGCTCCCCAGGTCCTGAAGAAAAAAAGGGTCTCTCTGTGGGTATGATAAAGGATGGGCCTGTCCCCAGGACCCTGTGAGAGGGAAGCCCAATGTCCCACCAGGTTGGCAGGGCTGGGGAAGGGAAAGTGTTATGGCAGCCCCAAGGAAAAAAAGAGGCAGCAGAGGGAGCAGGACAGCACTCACGTGGAACTCATGCCACTGCCTGAGTGAGGGGAGGGAGGAGTGCACGCCAGTGACGTCAGGGGGCAGAGAGGCACAGTTCCAGGGCGGCTTTCCCCCTCACTTCCTGCCATGTTACTCTGATCGCCTCCAGGTGAGCCTGTCCACTTTGTGCCCAGGGGCCTGTAGAAAACCACAGCTCCCCATGGTTATGGCCCCAGGAGTGGGGCAGAGCAGGGAGGAGTCCTGGACAGAGGAGAGGCAGGGGCAGGAGGGAGTGGGCCTCAAACTCCAGGAGGGGGCCCTTCTCATGGGTCCTGCTTTCTGGCTTCTCCTTCCTTACCCCTGGGCTGATCACTCGGGGAAGAACTGAGACAAAGTTTCTCACCCTCAGGCCCAAAGGGTTTAATTACTGGGCCCTTAGGGAGGTGTGAGCCCCCTGAAAGGATGCAAGGTTTTGTTTTGTTTTGTTTTTTGAGACAGAGTTTCGCTCCTGTCGCCCAGGCTGGAGTGCAGTGGCATGATCTCACCACACTACAACCTGTGCCTCCCAGGTTCAAGTGATTCTCCTGCCTCAGCCTCCGGAGTAGCTGGGATTACAGGTGGCTGCCACCACACCTGGCTAATTTTTTGTATTTTTAGTAGAGACAGGGTTTCGCCATGTTGGGCAGGCTGGTCTTGAACTCCTGACCTCAGGTGATCCGACTGGCTCCGCCTCCCAAAGTTCTGGGATTACATGAGCCACTGTGCTTGGCCACGATGAAAGGTTTTGTGTGGAGAGCATGTACATGCCTTTCTGGGAAAACAGTCCACAGCTCTTATTCTCAGCAGGCTTCACGGTCAAAAATGGTTAGAACTCTTGCTACAGAGCTGTGGAAGCAGCCAGGTGAGGGGCCTGCCAAGGGCACTCTGGGCACTACCTGGGCACTCTCTAGCCCATCATCCCCTAGGCAGGCTGCACTGCTTGGTATTTGCAGAGCTGAGGGGGTGGGGCATGTGGGGACTGTGAAATCGCCCTGAGATGACCCACAGTCCTCAGCTGGGAAGTGAGCAGTGCATCTCCTGCAGCGTCCTCCATCCCTAGAGCCATGGGGCCAGGAGAACTGGCCCTTGCAGCAAGTGAAAAGCCTATTATTGACTCCCTCCCTAGCCATGTAGACAGTGAACCAAGACACTCATATCAGGCAAATGCCTTGTTCTCTGTTACCGAGGTAACCAGTAGGCATTCCCAGATACAGTGAAGGTCCTCACACCAAGATATGCACCTGGCCACCTGAGGAAAGAGAAAGGACTATCTGAGGGGATGGGGCTGAGCTGGGTGTGGAGTGGTCCTTGTGGGTCTTGGAGAGTGGGAGGGGGAGCAGCATGAGCCAGGCCTCGAGGCAGAAGGACAACCAGGAGACAGCCTGGAAAAAGTGCTGGACCCACAAGGGCTCAAGGCTGGCCAGAGGGGAGGTGGGATAGGCTGCAAAGTCCTGAGGTCTGAAGATTGGCCCTGGCAGGAAGAAACCAGGTAAGGTGGGGTGTTACCTACACCCTCGGGGCCAGATGCAGGCCAGAGCCAGCCAATTACCAGGCCCTTAGGGAGGTGTGAGCCCCTTGAAATGACGCAAGGTTTTTTGTTTTTGTTTTGGAGACGGAGTTTCGCTCTTGTCGCACAGGCTGGCACCTTTGCCCAGAGCAGGCACCAAGACTTCTGGCTCTGGGTGTGACCTCAGTCTGAGTAAAAGCCCCAGCCCCCACCAGGACCACCTACCCCCTAGACTACTTCAGGTGCTGAGCCCAAGCCAGGGGCAGGAAGCTAAACTGATGCCTAGGGTAATCCCAGCAAAGTCCCTGGTTCCCCGCAGCTATGGGGCTGATGGGGAATTACAGCCCAAACCCCAGATGCTGGCTATCAAACTAACACTGAGCCCTCAGTGCCCACAGGGAGATACAATCAGCGCACTTTCCAGATGGGGAAATGGGATCAGAGAAGTGCAACAGCCTTGCCCAATGCCCCAGACCAGGGCTCCAGGCCCAGAGTGTTCTTTTGTCACTGTGTTCAGAGGGCAGCAGCTGCTGTGATGTACCCACCTGAGCCTGGCAGCTTTCTCCAACTTTGGAAGCCCAGGAGCGTGGCCCCTGTCCACAGATGCACCTGGCATGAGGCGTGCCCAGAGGGACAGAGGCAGATGAGTTTCGTCTCCTCCACTGGATTGTGAGGGCCTAGAAGGAGACAAGGGTCTGCTTGGGAAGGCAGTGAATAGCGAGCAGCCTGAGGCAGTGCCCCTCTGGATGGATGCACAGTGCCTGGATGGAACCTGGCTCAGACAGAGCTCAGTTCTGCAGGTCCCTGAGGCATGGAGAGTTCACAGCTACCAAGCGTAGGAGTCTGGATTCAAAGCCAACGGCGTGACTCCAAAGTCCCTGCCCTAGCCCCTGGACCACCCTTGCAGGCCCATCAGATGCCCAGGCCAGCAGCACAGCCGGCCAAGACCAGGGAAACTTGGGGAGCCTCAGAGCACCCCCAGGTATTCCAACCTAACCCTGGTGCCCCGCCTCTCACCACCCTTCTTCCTGCTTTAACCTCAACCCCTACACAAAGCCTGGGCCACTTAATGTGGCATCAAACAGACGCCTCAATAAATCAGTCTAATCTCGAAAAAAAAAAAAGACTTAACAGATACACAATTGCACGTTAGAATGCTAAAGACCATAAACATATAACAACTTAAAGTACATATAAATTCAATATATATCCAATCATTGTAACTATGACACAGTAGAATATTAAAATACTATTTTCAAAATGTATACAAGCTTAATGTTCTATGTATTCAAACTATTTATTCAAAATACAAATCATCAACATAAATTGCCACTAATATTCAGTCCCTTCACAGGACACATGATTCACTGGGAGTTAATAAATTAGCAGCCGGCAGGCAGTGACACACAGCAAAAATGAAAACCAAGAGGTGAAATAGTTCTGAAATAAAGGTTTTAAAGCTAACAGAAATCACTGAATTACTAAGTCATTAGCACTCATTTTGAGCCAACTAACTAATTAATATGAGATGATACAACGTCCTATACTTTGGTAAATACAGACTATGTTTAAACAATGTCTGTAACATGACTTGTAAAATGCTCCTGGCTTTACAAAGATGTGATTAAGATGTAGTAACACATGCTAAACCATTTCCCCCTGCAGAGCATGTGGTAACTTTCATCAGTCACATTGAGAGTCCAGAAGATAAAGGAAAAGGTCATGGATTTCGCTGAGAACTTACCAGAGTTGAACTCCCTCATTTTCCGTTCCCCAGCATTGGCGGGTTCTGGGACTGGTGGCTGTGGTGGCTCGTTGGTCTTTGTCTCTTAGAAGGTGGGGAATAATCATCATCTTGAAAAAGAAAAAATGGTCATTACTGAAGGAACCATCTTAGGTTACAGCCACCTCTGGGTCAATTCCCAACATTCAAAAGCTGAGCAGGGCTTTAAAGCTATCTTATTAATAATTATTTCTGTATTGCGAACTTCAGCATACTTTTTCCTAGTTACATTTGAAATGTTATTCTTTTGGGATGTGCTCAAGTGAATACTGCTTTTTCCTCTGCCTTGCTTCATTACTTTTTAGTTTCCTTCATTTGAATCATCATTGTAAGTCTCCTCTTCTCCTCAAATAACTTTCAAATTGCTGCCAAGAACTATGTTCTATCTTAAGGCTTTTGAGAAAAAACTTTCAATGAAGATAGCCGCCTAAAGTTATACAAATATAGAAGAAACGGGATAAAATAAAGCTTAGATTGGAAAAAATAAGATTATACAAAATTCACACGTCAACAAGGGAAGCTGAGTAATTGTATGTTCAAATACTTTTAACAAGTGCAAAACATGTAGGCTTAAAGAACTAGAGCTGGCCAGGCATGGTGGTTCACGCCTGTAATTCCAACAGTTTGGGAGGCCGAGGCAGGCAGATAACTTGAGGTCAGGAATTCGAGACCAGCCTGGCCAACAGAGTGAAACCCTCTCTCTACTAAAAATACAAAAATTAGGCCAGGAGTGATGGCTCATGCCTGTGATCCCAGCACTTTGAGAGGCCGAGGCGGGTAGATCACCTGAGGTCAGGAGTTTGAGACCAGCCTAACCAACATAGAGAAACCCCGTCTCTACTAAAACTACAACATTAGCCGGGTGTGGTGGCACATGCCTGTAATCCCAGCTACTCGGGAGGCTGAGGCAGGAGAATCCCTTGAACCCGAAAGGCAAAGATTGTGGTGAGCCGAGATTGTGCCATTGCACTCCAGCCTGGGCAACAACAGCGAAACTCCGTCTCAAAAAAAAAAAAGAAAAAATTAGCCAGGCGTGGTGGCGCATGCCTGTAATCCCAGCTACTTGGGAGGCTGAGGCAGGAGAATCGCTTGAACCCAGGAGGCTGAAGTTGCCGTGAGCCAAGACTGCACCATTGCACTCCAGCCTGGGTAGCAGAGCAAGACCCTGTCTCAAAAAAAAAAAAAAAAAAAAAGAGAGAGAGAGAGAAAGAAAGAAAGAGGGCTACATTATTTATGAAACAGATACTGTTAACTCAGTCACCAGAAAGCCTGTGTATAAATGAGCAGTGAGATATTCAAGTACAGCACACACACACTTCTCAGGACAGCTGTCGTGAGAGTTCCATGCTCGTTTCCTTCTGGATACATCAGCAACTCACTCTGCTATGATCCTGCAATACGTCTCATGTTAGAATTAGAGACATCTGGGCCAGGCACAGTGGCTGACGCCTGTAATCCTAACACTTTGGGAAGCCGAGGCAGGCAGATCACCTAAGGTCAGGAGTTCGAGACCAGCCTGGCCAACATGGTGAAACGCTGTCTCTACCAAAAATACAAAAAATTAGCTGTGCATGGTGGCACGCGCCTGTAATCCCAGCTACTCGGGAGCCTGAGGCAGGAGAATCGCTTGAACCCGGGAGGTGGAGGTTGCAGTGAGCCGAGATCGTGCCACTGCACTCCAGCATGGGGGACGGAGCAAGGCTCTGTCAAAAAAAAAAAAAAAAAAAAAAAAACACAGAAAAAGAAAAAGAAAAAGAAGAAGAAAAAAGAATTAGAGACATCTGGATCAAATCAGCTGCCAGTCTCGCAAAGTGTCGGGTAACATCCTATTAAGATTGCTGCTTACACATCATCTATAAAATACTGAAAATATCATTTTAAGAAATCTTTTTTTTATTTTGAGACAGAGTTTTGCTCGTTGCCCAGGCTGGAGTGCAATGGTGCGATCTCAGCTCACTGCAACCTCTGCCCCCTGGGTTCAAGCAATTCTCCTTCCTCAGCCTCCTGAGTAGCTGGAATTACAGGCATGCACCACCACGCCTGGCTAATTTTGTATTTTCAGTTGAGACAGGGTTTCTCCATATTGGTCAGGCTGGTCTCGAACTCCTGACCTCAGGTGATCCACTGACCTTGGCCTCCCAAAGTGCTGGGATTACAGGTGTGAGCCACCATGCCTAGCCAAGAAACCCTTATTTTAAAACAAGCCAGGCGCGGTGGCTCATGCCTATAATCCCAGCACTTTGGGGAGCCAAGGCGGGTGGATCACTTGACGTCAGTAGTTTGAGACCAGCCTGGACAACATGTTGTAACCCCATCTCTACTAAAAATATATTTAAAAAATTAGCTGGGCGTGGTGGTGGGCACCTGTAATCCCAGCTTCTCAGGAGGCTGAGGCAGGAGAATCACTTGAACCTGGGAGGTGGAGGTTGCAGTGAGTGGAGATCACGCCACTGCACTCTAGCCTGGGTGACAATAGAAAGACTCCATCTCAAAAACAAAACAAAACAAAACAAAAAACCACTAAAAGAAAGACTCCATTTCAAAAACAAAACTAAAACCAAAAACACAACACAAATGTAGTATACAAATGAAAATAATTACTGTGTTAAACACAGTTTCATAGAAAATAAAAGACCAATCAAATACAATAAGCTGCCTTTTTAGATGGGTGTTATTCTTCTTTCACAGCTAAAGAAACGGGCTCAGAGAATGTTATTTGATTGGACCGTGTTGCATCTCTGGACAGTGCAGCTGAGATCAGACTTTGTGTGTAACTCCACTAGCCTACCAGGGTGCCTCTCATAAAGGTAAGAAATGTAAATTTGGGCTAATATACAAAGTTGCCAGGGCAGCACTGGGTCAATTCTACATACAGTACTTCTATGTTCATCAAGGGAAACCTTAAGGGAAAGTGAAAATGCTTCTAGAAGGCGACTGGACACCAGCGCCTTTGCTTGTTGCCTTTGGGCTCTTCTTCTAAGGCCAACAGTGACCTGAGATTATTGACTGGCTTTTCCAATCAAGTGGACAAAATGGTACCAAGGTCGCCAACATCAAACAAATTCACTTGAGGGCCTTATCTATGTCCTTTGAAAGACAAAACTGCTTTTGTAAAGGACACTGTATTTCAGAAAAACATAATCATATTAACAAATAATAACACTGTAAAATGCTGATGTATTGAATGCTACTTTAGAAAAACATGCTCAAATCTAGGGAAAAAATTTGATACAAAACTCCGTATCAATTATCTAGCTAGCTAGCTAGCTAGCTAGCTAGAGACATGCTTTCATTCTATTGCTCAGGATGGGAAGCAGTGGGATTATCATAGCTCACTGCAGCCTTGAGCTCCTGGCCTCAAGTGATCCTCCTGCCTCAGCCTCCTAACTAGCTAGGGCCACAGGTGGACACAGTTATGCCTGGGTTTTTGTTTGTTTGTTTTGTAGAGACAGGGTGTCACTACATTGCCCAGGCTGGTGTCAAACTTTGGAGTCTCGCTGTGTCGCCCAGGCTGGGGTGCAGTGGTGCGATCTCGGCCCAATGCAACCTCCGCCTCCCGGGTTCAAGTAATTCTCCTTTATCAGCCTCCTAAGTAGCTGGGACTACAGGCATGCGCCACCACGGCCGGCTAATTTTTGTATTTTTTGTAGAGACTGGGTTTCACCATGGCCAGGCTGGTCTCCAACTCCTGACCTCAGGTGATCCACCCGCCTCGGCCTCCCAAAGTGTTGGGATTACAGGTGTCAGCCACTGAGCCTGGCGGAGCACTTTCTTATGTTATTAAGTAGCCTAACCCAGGTGGGGCGCTGTCCCTCACACCTGTAATCCCGACAACTCTGATGGCCAAGGTGAGAAGATCGCCTCAACTCAGGAGTTCGAAACTGGCCCGGGCAACATAGCGAGCCCCCACCCCACCCCATCTCTAGAAAAAAAATACAAAAATTAGGCCAGGTGCACACCGCGCCCGGCTAATTTTTGTATCTTCTGTAGAGACGGGGTTTCGTCATGTTGCCCAGGCTGGTCTCGAACTCCTGAGCCCAAGCCATCCATCCTCCCGCCTCGGCCTCCCAAAGTGCTGGGATTACAGTAGGGCCCAGCCAGCCTCATGTTTTATTGCACACCTGGATAGTTTTTTAATTTTTTTACACAGGGTTTACCTCAATCTCGCAGGCTGGAATGCTGTGGTGGGATCATAGCTCACTGGAGCCTTGAATCTTTGGGTTCAAGTAGCTGGGGGGCTGAGGTAGGACTACAGAGATGGGGTTGCGCCATGTTGCTAGGCTGCTCTTGGCCTGAAGGGTCCTCCCGCCTCGGCCGCGCCATAGTTTTCTATTTTTGACCAACATAAACACTGTGCTGGGTCTGAATTTTTCAGCTACCCTTCTTCAGCCGGCAACACACAGGACCTGGCGGGGAGGTCGCTCTCACCAGTCCCCACTCTGACGAGAAGACCGCCCAGCTCCAGGCACCGTAGCGCCCCAGTGACGTAGGCGAACACCCGCGCCTCTGACGTCGCCAAAGGCCCACCGCTATGGTGTCGGCGAAGGCGCGCCCTTGTGACGTCACGGAAGGCGCGCCCTTGTGACGTCACGGAAGGCGCGCCCTTGTGACGTCACGGAAGGCGCCCCTTGTGACGTCACGGAAGGCGCGCCCTTGTGACGTCACGGAAGCGCAAGAACCGCTTGAACCCGGGAGGCAGAGGTTGCAGTGAGCTGTGATCGCATCACTGCACTCCAGCCTGGGCCACACAGCAAGACTCTGTGTAAAAAAAATTATTTTAGGCCATCGAACTGTATACCTGAAATTAGCAAATTTTATTATATGTAAATTGTATCTCAATAAAGCTATTTTAAAATTATAAAACTTGGCTGGGCACGGTGGCTCACACCTGTAATCCCAGCACTTTGGGAGGAGAGGCAGGTCGATCACCTGAGGTCAGGAGTTTGAGACCAGCCTGGCCAACATGGTGAAACCCCTTCTCTACTAAAAAATACAAAAATTAGCTAGGCATGGTGGCGCTAGCCTGTAATCCCAGCTACTTGGGAGGCTGAGGCAGGAGAATGGCTTGAACCTGGGAGGCGGAGGTTGCAGAGAGCCGAGATGGCGCCACTGCACTCCAGCCTGGGCAACAGAGCGACACTCTGCCTCAAAAAAAAAAAAAAATTATAAAACTTAAAAAATAATGTTAATGATAACAGAAGTTTGAGAATCAGAGATAAATTGTGTAATGATTTTTAAAAAGGGGGCCCAATTTTTTTACGGTTCAGTTTCTAGAACAGGAGTTATTCACCTGTAAGTCATTTGACGAATAGAGAGATAATTTTTTAGCACTCTTTCCAATTACTAGCATGTGTTTTCTTTGTCCCAAATCATGTTTAACACATCATTTATACTAAAAATACTAATTAAAACAATTATGGCATACTTCTAATAATGTTAAAAGTGAGTAATAATACTTAACCTAAAAGGGTACATTTATAATACTACAGTTTCAAGTTTCAGAAAGCAGAGAGGGAAGGATATTTCAAGACTGGAATATTCCTGCCATTCCTTAAATCACATTCCTCAGCATCTATTCATTTAACAAATATTTATTAAAGACCTGCTACACTCCAAACTCTTTCTATATGCTTCTGATCCATCAATGAGCAGAAAACACAGATATGCATCAATTAGGTTAGTTTGCAGAATCTCAGTGGCTTCTAGCACAATAGTTCATTTCTGACCCATGAGACCTGACAATTACTGGTTAACTACAGCTCTGTGACAGATTGTCATCTTTCTAGGACCCAGCCTGATGGAGTAGCCATTATCTGCAACTCTGAATAAACACATTGTAGTTCAGTCACATTTTGGAATACTATTCAGCAATGAAAAGGAACAAGGTGTCATAAACTCAAAAATGGGTGAACTCAAAAATACTACTGCTAAGTGAAAGAAGTCAGATGCAAAAGGCATTATGGCAGGATAAAGAACATGGTAAACCACACGCTGGCTCCTGTAACTTCTGCCTACAAGTAACAATGCTTTTGCTTCTATGTCAGCAATCAGACCCAGTCACGTAGCCATGTCCAAGGCCAATGGGGTGGGGAAAGGATAATCCTCCTGAGAGGGTCAGAGTATGTATTTGAATAATAGCGCAGTTTACCGGTTACCTGTATATAGTAACATAGAAGGAAATAAGGGTTGTAGAAAAAAAGAATCGGGCGTGCAGGGTTGGAATGCAATGATACGGAGCAGGATGTGGTGTTAGACAGTTCTCAGTTCTTCAAACCCCGAGAAGACTTGAAGGAGGTGAGGGAGTTGGCTAAGCAAAATATGAGGAAAGAGCATTTGAAGAAGATGGAACATCTAGAGCAAAGACCTTGGAGTAAGCGTGCCTGAGATGCCGGAGGAGTGGTAAGGAAGCCGGGGTGGCTGGAGTAGATTAGAAGCACGTAGTAGCTACTCCTCCTACTGGAGGTCATCACAGCAATGGGGTGGGACAAACAAAGAGGACTTTGTCATCGTTGTAAGAACTTTAGTTTTTACACTGAGTGAAATGAGCTAGTACAGGGTTCTGAGCAGAGACTTATTATCTAAGTCACCTGTTGAAAGATCACTCTGGGACGGGCGCAGTGGCTCACGCCTGTAAGCAATCCCAGCACTTCAGGAGGCCGAGGCAGGCAGATCACAAGGTCAAGAGATAGAGACCATCCTGGCCAACATGGTGAAAACCCATCTGTACTAAAACTACAGAAATTAGCTGAGTGCGGTGGCGTGCACCTGTAGTCCCAGCTACTCAGGAGACTGAGGCAGGAGAATCGCTTGAACCTGGGGGGTGGAGGTTGCAGTGAGCCAAGTTTGTGCCACTGCACTCCAGCCTGGCGACAGGTGAGACTCCATCTCAAAAACAAAACAAAACAAAACAAAACAAAAACACCTTGGGCTGTGTACGGTGGCTCACACCTGTAATCCCAACACTTTGGGAGGCCAAGGTGGGCAGATGCCTTGAGTCCAGGAGTTTGAGACCAGCCTAGCAACATGGCAAAACCCTACCTCTACAAAAACTACAAAATAAATAGCTGGGCATGCTGGTGCCTGCCTGTGGTTCCAGCTACTCCAGAGGCTGAGGTGGGAGGATCGTTTGAGACCGGGGAGGTGGAAGTTGCAGTGAGTAGAGATGGTGCCACTGCACTCCAGCCTGGGTGACAGAGGAAGACCCTGTCTAAAAAAAAAAGATAACTCTGGCTATTATATTGGGGACAAAGGGAAGAAGCAGGGAGACCAATTAGGAGGCCATTGCAAGAATCCATGCAAATGTCAACGGTGATTCAGACCAGGGTGACAGCTGTGAGGGTGGTGAGAAGTGGCCAAATTCTGGATATTTTTAAAGGTCAAGTTCATGGCATTTCATGACAAATCGAATGTGGGTGTGAGAGAAAAATAGAGACAACGATGACTGTAAGGATTTTGTTTGTTTGTTTATTTGCTTACTTGGGTAACTGAAAAAACAAAGTTGGCTTAAGGACCTGAAGACGTTTTTCAAAGAAGACACCAAAATGTCCCACAAGTACATGAAAAGATGCGGAACATCATGAACCATCAAGGAAATGCAAATCAATACCACAATGAGACAGCACCTTATACATGTCAGGATGGCTACTATAGAAGACAAGCCATGACAAGGGTTGGTAAGGATGTGGAGAAAAGTGAACACTTCTAAGCTGTTAGTGGAAACATAAACTAGTACCCCATTATGGAAAACAATATGGAGCTGCTTCCTCCAAAAATTACAAATAGAACTACCATGAGATCCACCAATCCCACTTCTGATATATATCCACAGGAAACAACATCAGTATCTCAAAGAAATATCTGCACTCCCGTGTCCATGGCAGCACTATTCACAATAGCCAAGGTGTAGAATCAACCTGTCTGTCAACAGATGAATACAGAAAATGGAGTATATATACACAACAGAATAATATTCAGCCTTAAAAGAAGAAAATCCTATCATTTGACACAACATAGGTGAGCCCAGAGCACAGTATGTTCAGTGAAATAAAGAGTCAGAGAAAGAAATACTGGGTGACCTCACTCATTTGGAATCTAAAAAAGTCAAACTTAGAAGCAGAGATGAGAGGTGTGGTTGCCAGGGGCTGGGGAGTGAGAGAAATGGAGAGAGGTTGGTCAAATGGTACAAACTTTCAGATAGAAGATAAGTTCTGGAAATCTACTGTACAGCATGGTGTCTATGGTTACTGATTATTATATACTTGAGATTTGCTAAGAGAGAGCAGATCTTAAATGTTCTCACCACACACAGACACACACAGAAGGTAATTGTACACCAAAAAGTGTCTGAGACAGGCCTTGATCAATTTAGAGGTTCATGTTGCCAAGGTTGAGGATGCACTGGGAAAAAGAAACACAAGTTCCCATACAATCTGTGGCCCATGTATTTTCCAAAGAGGGTTTTGAAGACTTCAATATTTAAAGGGGAAAGAGCAGCAGGAGGGGAAAAAGGAAAGAAAAGAGTGGGTAGGTAGCCAGATAAGTGGTTATATTCTTGTGAAACTTTCATTAGTGCTTACTGAATTCACATGTTACATGTGAGAGGAGGGTATAGAGGAACAGTCAATTACACATTCTTGTCACGCTCAGTAAATCTGCATTTTACATAAGATAAAAATAGAGTAGAGAAAGAAGTCAAATATGCATTTGTTTTGGGGTGGGCAGAGGGATGATTTCTAGTCTTGTCTTTGTTCCACACCCGTGAAGATAAGCTGTTAGTTATCTTACATTGTCAGGGTGATCTGGTTTGGCTGTGTCCCCATCCTAATCTCATCTTGAATTCCCACACGTTGTGGGAGGGACCTGGTGGAAGGTGATTGAATCATGGGGGCAAGACTTTCCCATGCTATTCTCTTGACAGTGAATAAGTCTCACGAGATCTGATGGTTTTAAAAAGAGGATTTCCCCTGCACAAATTTTCTCTTTGCCTGCTGCCATCCATGTAAGATGTGACTTGTTCCTCCTTGCCTTCGCCATGATTGTGAGGCTTCCCCAGCCACGTGGAACTGTAAGTCCAATTAAACCACTTTCTTTTGTAAATTGCCCAGTCTCGGGTGTGTCTTTATCAGCAGCATGAAAATGAACTAATACACAGGGTGAGGGAAGCCACCTGGAGAGGTATGTGGCCTTCTATCCTGCAGCTGTGAGTCTAGGAACAAAAGGAAAGCAGGTTTTGTTTTTTGTTGTCATTGTTGTTTTTTGCATGACTCAGCTCCCAAACTTAACTTTTCCCTTTGCCATAGGGGGTTTGAGGTCCCAGAGATTTTATTTTCCTTTCACATAACCACAGAAGGCAAGGGACATCTTAACTCACTTGATTATGGTAATCATTTCACAATATATAAACATATCAAATCATCATTGTACCCCTAAAATTTATATAATTGTATTTGTCAGTTATAGCTCAATAAAGCTGGGGGAGAATAGATTTATCAAAAACACATAAAAAAAAAAAAGAATGGCATTGCTGTAACTGAGGTGGGGAAGGCTGCAGGTAGAGTGGGCTTGGTGTAAGATGGGAGATCAGGGGTTGAATTTAGAACATGGTAAGCCTGAAACATCTGTGGGATACACAGGCAGATTCCCAGTGCACCCTGGATGAAGTCGGTCTCAACTCAGGTTCTCCCGTGTCACAGAATGTCCCCTGGAGCCACAGTCAACAGATCCAGGTGGTAACGCCGGCCTTACCACAAAGAAGCTCTGACTGTGGGGAGGTCACTAGTACACTCCATCTCTCCTCATCTGTGTGGTGGGTCAGTAAAACATGCCAACAGAGTTATTCTGAGCATTCTGTGACATAAGTATATGGCAGCGCTTTGCCAGTTAAAACATAGGATAGAAAATGGCCTGGCTGCTGCTGCTGCGGTTCACGGTAATGGTCTCATCCTCTTAGTCAGCCGGCTGCTTTGGGATGAAACACAACAAAAAGCCGATCAGATTTTCCTAGAGTCTCATGATCCCAGGTATCCAGAAACACAATTTGGAAACACTGAAGTTATTTTTCTTCCTTCGATGTGCTAGTTTTTCATTCTAGCCTACTCCACTCTGGGCAAATCCCTGTAGAATTCCTTGAGCAACATGAGCTCTTTCGCTGACTCAGATAAAATTGGACAGTATGTAATGTCCTGTGACCCTTGCCTGGAAGCGATCCCAGCTGGCTGCCAGGGTTGAGTCCGAGACCCTTACGACCAGGCTGACCCTGAGGCCTGGAGACTGCCGAGATCCCTGTTCAATGTCTGGAGAGCAGCGGGCGCAGCTGGTAGCCGGACCCTGCGTGGTTTGGAGCAGCGGGACACTCACTTTGAGACAGACAAACCTAGAAGTGAGCAACCACTTTCCACTTCACTATGTGGCGCATGATGGGTGTTCAGCAACAAATATCAGCCTCCTGTCTTCCCCTGGCACCGCCCCTGGCTTCGGTGAGTGGTCTGTTTCTGCCAACCGTCTCTGATTTTGGAGTCACGGGAATAGAGTACGGAGCCGCACGTGATTCCCTTCCAGATGTCAGTCCCAACACACCCCAAACGCCTTTTCATTTCTCTCACAAAACATTATGACTCTGTCATGCGTGGATTGCCTGGGTTCTTTTTTCAAGCAATTCAGCAGGATGACATAGAGCCTCTTGGTGAGGGGATGCCCATACATTTCCTATTGAAGCACAAAATAATTCTGCCCACTGTTTTATTTAAAAACCACCTAACTCAAGGCTCCAGGGATTTCCTTTCCTCCTGGTAGCCTGGGGTTTGGTGAACTCATCAGGCTCCCCGCACTTTGGGGTGTATTCTTCCTCGGTTTCCCCAGATGTGCAGCCAACAGTTGTAACTAGACAGGTGCAGACATGGCGTGTATATTGATATTGACATTTCTAGCAGGTTATCGCAGGTGTTTGTAAGACAGCCTTAGTTATAAGCTTCTCATTATGATCTTAGAGTCTAAGATAAAAAATATTTTCACGTATTTTTTTGCTTTCTCCAAATCCAGTGAGGGTGAATCATGGCTACTTAGAGAATCCAAAGTTGAAAATCGAGATAAATAATGCAGTTTTGGCCAGGCATGGTGGCTCACGCCTGTAATCTCAGCGCTTTGGGAGGCCGAGGAGGGTGGATCACCTGAGGTCAGGAGTTTGAGGCTAGCATGGGCAACATGGTGAGACCCAGTTTCTACCAAAACTATGAACAATTAGCTGGGTGTGGTGGTGCACGCCTGTAATCTCAGCTACTTGGGAGGCTGAGGTGAGAGAATCACCTAAGTGAGCCCAGGGAAGTCAAGACTGCAGTGAGCCATGTTCACACCACGGCACTCCTGTCTGGGTGATGGGAGTGAGACCCTGTCTCAAAAAAAAAAAAAAATGCAGTTTAGGCAACATTTTGTCCTAATGAAGCCCTTGCATCATCATTATCCTTATAACACACACTTTTTTTTTTTTTTTTTGAGACGGAGTCTCACTCTGTCACCTAGGCTGGAGTGCAGTGGCGCAATCTCAGCTCACTGCAAGCTGCGCCTCCCGGGTTCACGCCATTCTCCTGCCTCAGCCTCCCGAGTAGCTGGGACTACAGGCGCCCGCCACCACACCCAGCTAATTTTTTGTATTTTTAGTAGAGACGGGGTTTCACCATTCACAAGATGGTCTCAATCTCCTGACCTCGTGATCCGCCCACATCGGCCTCCCAAAGTGCTGGGATTACAGGCGTGAGCCACCACGCCCGGCCAACACACACTTATAACATAAAATGTAAAAGGGGAAAAATGCCTTCTTTTTGCCTATTTTATTAAGGATGTAATAACCCTAATGGCCTTTCATGAAGAGCATTTTCTCCAAATGCATTGCACTGGGACACTCCCGAGGGACTCTGGAATGGATTTACTGCTTTCTCCGAAAACCAGGACATGGCCTATTTCATATAATATTGTTTGATTCAAACACATAATAATAAAAAATAATAATTTTCAGTGCTAAAAGTCAGCAACCCTGATGTGCGGTTTTGCCCCCTGAGTGACAGGAACAACACACGGATTTGTCTTCTCTTGTGTGACTGAAGAAGGGCAGAGCAGTAGGTTTTCGTTTCACACAACCCAGGAGATTGCCATTTTCTCAGGATCACCTGATGGCACAAAACTTAGGCCCTGGCTCATACCCTTCGTCCATCTCTTACTCTAGCTATTGCTAGAGCAAGCAGCTTCGAGCAGATGAAACCTCCCAGCACCTCCCCTCTGCTGCAGCATATCTCTTGCATTTTGACACCACAGCATGGAACACCTGCCACAATCGGCCCAGCACTCACACAAGCATCATCCCAACGCACAAGAGAATTCATGCCCCAAGAACACCCCTTGGAGAATCGGAGCTGGAAATTGATGAATAAAGGTTCCCTCCCTCTTTCAGGCGCACAGGCCGTCCATTCTGAAGTCACTCCGTGGCTCATTAGGAGCCCCTGCGCAGTCATGCCTCAGCTGCCTCCAGGAGTGAACAAGCTGAGATTGCACTCCCATTTGCCTTCCTTCCTTCCCTGTGTCACTCTTCCCAATCCCTCTATCTTGTTTTCTGGGAACACTTTCCCAAATTAGAAAATTCTGGAGGCCAATTAAGGCAATAAGCCAGGGAAATATGTTATGTAACCGTGTGATGAACTCACAAGAGATACTTGGGGACTTGGAGAAGTCCATTCCCTGTATCTAGGCGAGACCACAGCTAAGTCATTGACCAAAGGAACTTTGTATTAAAACAAACAAACAAACAAACAAAAAACTTAGAAAAATGGAATTCCAAAATCACCATTAGTAATTCTATTAGGTATTCAGATATTCATTGACTATAAATGTTCCTGAATGCAAAGCAGGAGATACAGAGGTCTGAATGTTGGATGTAAGAACTCGTGTATGTAATTGCATGAGCCAAAGAACAAGCTTAATGGATCTGGGTTCTGTGATTTTGCTCTTTTCGGAAGTGCTAGCTCAGTTTCAGAAAAGAAGTTCAGCGTCATTTTTTTCTTTTTACATTTATCTCCACCAAGTTTATGAGAAGTTGATCCAATGATTTACTCTCCTTGATCAGAAATACCAGAAATTCACTCTCAATTTCAGTCCTTTAACTGATTGGCATTCTTTAAACATAATGAACGGGAAAAGGAAATATATCTTAAAACAGTTTTTAAAAATGTGAAACAATTCAGGCATACAAAAGACACAGAAAATGATAAATTGTGTGGTATACCACCAAGATAAAACAGCTGTTAATATTTTATCTTATTTGCTTCAAACCCATCTTTTCAGTAAACATGCTATTTACTTAATAAACAAAATATTACAGTCCAGCTACTGCCTCACCCAGTGTGCATCATCCTCTCTTTCCCTCCATCCCTGGATATAACTCTATTCAAAATTCGTGTGTATGGGCTGGGCACAGTGGCTCACATCTGTAATCCCAGCACTTTAGGAGGTCAAGGCAGGTGGATCACTTGAGGTCAGGAGATCGAGACCAGCATGGCCAACATGGTGAAACTCCATCTCTACTAAAAATAAAAAATTAGCTGGGCATGGTGGCGAGTGCGTCTAATCCCAGCTACTCGAGATGCTAAGGCAGGAGAATCGTTTGAACATGGGAGGCAGAGGTTGCAGTGAGCCGAGATTGTGCCACTGCACTCCAGCCTGGGCAACAGGGCGAGACTCCATCTCAAAAAAAAAAAAAAATTAGTGTATATCATCCCCACATCTGCTTTCTTACTTCTTCTACATAAATATACATCCATAAACAATATAAATTAGTCCTCTGCATTCTAGTTTTTGTTGCTGTTAAGAAGTCTAGTTGAAGTTCTTGGTAAATAACCTTTCAATCACCTGACTTAATACTGTAAACAGAGAAGCAGATTTTTATTAATGTCTCATCAAAAGTAAGTTTTTCACCAGGAATATGCTTGTGAATGCAACATAAACATTTATAAATGTACCATTCATCAGTTTTCTTTCCTGATGGGAATAGTGAAAGAAAATAGAATTCATCAGAACTCCTGTGCCTCTTTGGCACAAACTTATAGCAATACGATAAATAGCAAGTACACCTATGTGTGAAGTCTTACCATAAAAAACAAACTTGATCAACTGCGCCGGAGGAAAGACTGAGTATCTTTCTCTTCTCTCCATGGAAAATGATATTACAAAATTGTCGTCACATGTTGGGGCCAGCAAAGAGAATATAGCCAGATGATACAGGAAATGACATTTCTCAAAAGAAGACATACAAATGGCCAATAGGTATATGAAAAAAAAAAAGTTCAACATCACTAATCAAAGAAATGCAAAGTAAAACCACAATAATATATCACCACATACCTGTTAGAATGGCTATTATCAAAAAGACGAAAGATAGCAAGTGTTGGAGAGGATGTGGAGATGATTTATATTTATAAGTTTGTATAGTTATTTATATTTCAATACTATTGCTGGAAATATAAATGACTACAGCCCTTATGCAAAACAGTATGGGGATACTTTGAAAAATTCAAAATAGAACTGCCATGCTACAGTAATCCCACTACTGGGTATCTATCCAAAGGAAGTGAAATCAGTACGTTGAAGAGACATCTGCACTCCCATGTTCATTGCAGCACTATTCACAATAGCCAAGATATGGAAGCATCCTAAGTGTCCAGCAGCAGATGAGTGGATAAAGACAATGTGGGATGTACGGCATATATACACAGTGGAATGCTATTCATCCTTAAAAAAAGGAAATTCCGTCATTTGTGACAACATGGATGAACCTGGAGGATATTATGCTAAGTCAGATAAGCCAAGCACAAAAAGACAAATACTGCATGATCTCATTTATGTGTTGTAACCAAACCCAGGTTCAGGTACTCACCAAAAGTCAAACATGAGATACAAGAGTTGGTGGGACAGGCCGGGTGTGGTGGCTCACGCCTGTAATCCCAGCACTTTGGGAGGCTGAGGCAGGTGGATCACTTGAGGTCAGGAGTTCGAGACCAGCCTGACCAACATGATGAAACCCCGTCTCTACTAAAAATACAAAATTAGTCAGGCGTGGTTGCACGTGCCTGTAATCCCAGATGCTTGGGGGGCTGAGGCAGAAGAATTGCTTGAACCTGGGAGGTGGAGGTTGCAGCAAGCCAAGAGATCAGATCTTGCCATTGCACTCCAGCCTGGGCAACAACAAGAGCTAAACTCCATCTCGAAAAAAAAAAGTGTTGGTGGGACAAAAGCCAGGTTTGTTCAGAGAGCCAGTAAACCAAGAAGATAATAGCATCCTAAAGTGCCACCTTAAGTCAGGATAAATTTCAGTCTCTTTTTATGTTAAGAGCAGAAGGAAGAGGAGGGGCATGGGATCAATAGGTGACTGTTGACCACAGACATCTGGGTGCCAGTAAGGGCCCTAGAAGGTGGGGAAAGTCTTAGCTTTTGGTCAGGTCACAATGCTCCTATAAATCTTTTTATTTTTTATTTTTTATTGTTAATAGGATCTTGGTCTGTCACTCAGGTTGGAATGCAGGGGCATGATCATGGCTCACTGCAGCCTCAAGTTCCTGGGCTCAAGCATCCTCCTGCCTCAGTCCCAGTGGCCGGGACTATAGGTACACGCCACCATGTGTGGCTAATTTTTCCATTTTTTTGTAAATATGGGGTCTCACTATGTTGCCCAGACTGGTCTTGAACTCCTGGACTCAAGTGATCCTCCCACCCAAAGTGCTGGGAGTATAGGTGTGAGCCACTGTGCTCCACTCCTATAAATCTTTAACAAAATGTAGTTTACATACTTCTCCTTTAATCTCAGATGGCTGTTTTTGTGTTTTATCTCGTGCTCTAAAATTATCCTAGCCTATATGCTGGAATGGGTGAAGGCCCCTTAAACAATAATGGAGTTAGTTATGTTCTTTTGCTGTTTCACTGTTATACAATGTGAAATCTAAAAATGTCGATTGCATGGAAACAGAGAGTAGAGTGGTGGTTACCAGAGGCTGGGTGGCTGGGGAGATGTTGGTTAACGGATGCAAAATTTCAGTGAAATAGAAGAAATAAGTTCAAGAGGTCTATTGTAAAACATGGTGACTCTGGTTAATAACAATATATTGAGCTGGGCGTGGTGGCTCACACCTGTAATCCCAGCACTTTGGGAGGCTGATGCGGGCAGATCACCTGAGGTCAGGAGCTCGAGACCAACCTGTCCAACATGGCAAAACTGGGTCTCTACTGAAAAAAAAAAATACGAAAATTATCCAGGCATGATGGCACGTGTCTGTAATCCCAGTTACTTGGGAGGCCGAGGCAAGAGAATCGCTTGAACTTGGGAAGTGGAGGTTGTATTGAGCAGAGATCGGGCCATTACACTCCAGACTGGGTGACAGAGTAAGACTGCGTCTCAAAAAAAAAAAAAAAAAAAAAAAAAAAAAAAAAAAAAAAGCCAACATAATTGTATTCTTAAAAATTGCTAAGAGTAGATTTTAAATGTTTGAACTACAAAAACATGAAAAGTATGTGAGGTAAGGCATATGTTAATTAGCTCAATTTAATAACCATTCTACAATATACACATATTTCAAAACAACATGTTGCCAACAATATACAGAATTTTGTCAATTGAAAATAAAATTTTTTAAATCCAGGAAAAATTGTAGAGATTTATTTTTCCTGGATTTGGTGATCTTGTGGCTTTTCTCCCCCCAGCTTTTTGAAACTTTTGGTTTGTTGTGACTTCTAGTCTCTAAATATTCACTTTACTGCCAAATTTTGTATTCATACTTTTGTATTCTTTGTCTTTTAAATGGCTTCCTAAATGGTATACATCATCAGGCCCTCAAAATGTGCTCCACCTGCTTTGAACCACAAAACCCCTGGGGACCCTAATCCAAACAGCTTCCACCCTCCCCAGCACTCTCTCGCTTGCTGTGCAGGCTTTCTGTGAATGCTCCAGGCACGCAAAGGAAGGAAGCCAAATGCTCCAAGCTGCTCGATGTCTGACTCCTGGAGCCGCAGCTCCCATGACTTTGTAAAGGGCATGCACCCTGCAGGGCATGTGCCCCAAGCACCAGGGGTTCCTCCTACTCTCTTTGCTTTCGAAAATGAGGCAGCAGGAAGTGATGGAGAGCGCTGTGGTCATCAAATGTGGATGAAGTTAAAATTTGTTAACCAAATGCAAACACTTCGGGGAGTGAAAGTGGGGCACTATTCATTTTTTTTTAAAGTCAGGCTCTCACTCTTGCCTCAGCTGGAATGTAATGATGTGATCAGGGCTCATTGCAGACTGGACCTCCCAGCTCAGGTGATTCTCCCACTTCAGCCTCCTAAGTAGCTGGGACTACAAGTGTGTAACAACATACCCAGCTAATTTTTTTGTATTTTTTGTAGACACGGGTTTTCACCATGTTGCCCAGGCTAGTCTCAAACTCCTAGACTCAAGTGATCTGGATGCCTAGACCCCCCGCAAAATGTTGGTGTTAGTGGTGTGAGCCACCTTGCCTGGCCTCCATTTGCAAGATTGTCCCAAAGGAAGTGACCTTGGCTGAAACCCTGGCTCTGCTTCCTCTGGCCTTGGGGCGAGAAGTAAATAACCAAATCTGCCTGGGCTTGTTTCCTCACCCCAGAAAATGGCAGTAAGAGCTGCCTCACAGACCAGGTACGGTGGTGCACGTCTGTAATCCCAGCAATTTGGGAGGCCAAGGCATGAGGATTGCTTGAGCTCCAGAGTTTGAGACCAGCCTGGGCAACATAGTGAGACCCCACCTCTACAAAAATCAAATTAGATGGGCATGGTGTTTTATGCCTGTAGTCCCAGCTGCTTGGTAGCTGAGGTGAGAGGATTATTTGAGCCCAGGAAGGTGGAGGCTACAGTGAGCTATGATCACCCCACTGCACTCCAGCCTGGGTGGCAGAGCCAGATCCTGCCTCTGAAGAAAAAGAAAAAAAGAAAAAAGAAAAAGAACTACATCAGTATTTTGTTAAAGGTTAAGGTTAGATTACCTAGATATAGGCTCTGTTTCTCTCCACATATATCTGTATATCTATCTATACACACACGTATATATTTAGAGTTATGTATATATATGCAGAGAGAGGTATAGCTATAGATAGATCTATATAAATATATATAAACAGCTATCTCTCTTTACATATGCATATATATATTTATGTATCAATCCACAATACAGAAACTTGGATATGCACAAAATATCACATTTTCTCTAAACCAGCTGAATTTTTATTTCAAACTCCCCTTCACAGCAGACTGGGAAGATGCTTGAATTCAATCTTTTCGAGGTATCCCACTGCCCCCTCCGAGATATGCTACAAACTCCCACACGGTGTCAAGCTCTGCACAGGAGTTACCTTGGAGAGCCTGTTGTCCCGGGAGCCTGACCCGTGAGTCCTAGGGGTCCCTGCTGCTTCCATGTGGACATCAGGCCAAGGGGCCTCTTTCCCAGGCTGCCCGCAGCCCCAGCTGCCCAGGCACACTCTGCTGCAGCTTTTTCTCGGGACGTTGTCTCCCCAGTGGCTCTGCGGTGACCTCTCTGGGGACCTAGGATCCTCATTTTTTAGTGTGGAAGTAATCCTTTCTTCACATCCAGCTAAGACATTCTATCAAAGCATGAGAATCTGCTTCCTTTTCATTTCTCTTAAAAAAATCATATACATTCTAGGCTGGGCGCGGTGGCTCATGCCTGTAATCCCAGCACTTTGGGAGGCTAAGGCAGGCAGATCACGAGGTCAGGAGATCGAGACCATGCTGGCCAACATGGTGAAACTCCGTGTCTACTAAAATACAAAAAATTAGCCAGGTGTGGTGGTGCACGCCTGTAGTCCCAGCTACTTGGGAGACTGAGGCAAGGGAATCGCTTGAACCCTGGAGGCAGAGGTTGCAGTGAGCCGAGACCACACCACTGCACTCCAGTCTGGCGACAGAGTGAGACTCCATCTCAAAAAAACTCATATACATTCTACTAAGCGCGTTGGTCCTGAAAATCTCAAAACCAGAGTGAACTGCAGTGGGTTTTGCTTTCTACCCTGCCACATCTCTCCCCGCAATGCATGAGCAATTGGGTTAGCCAAAGGGAGAAACATGGGGAAAACAAACTTTCACAATACTGCACTGGCCACACGGCACCTGCCATAACGAAGGGGTTCGGTAAGTGCTTGGCCCTTTTCCTGGAAATGATACCATAATCACCAGGATATACTGATCCAGCCTGAATCACTGGCAGCCTTTACGTGGGCAGAAGTGAAATGAGCAAAACATTATGGTGAAGCAATAGGACTGAACATTTCTGGGAGAAGCAGCTGAAAGAAGAAAAACTTCTGGACGAAAGAGTAAACACCTGGGGAGTCACTCATTAAGCAGAACAGGAAGAGAGGCAGAATTACTGACAAAGAGCTAACAAAACATTTTTTCCAGAAATCTGGGGGAAGACAGCGAAGAGAACAATAGCTGAAGTCCACAGAACAGCCACTAATACAGCAAGAAGATACCTTAGAGCTCAACTACTCAACATCGCCTCCACCCCATTTTACAAATACTGAGGCTACAGCTGAAAGCACTTGCACAAAACCAATAACACATTAAGTTTAGCTGCAAGATTCCTAACCACCAATTAGCTTTTTACTATAATTACAATATGTTGTCTTTTTATGACTGAAAGTAAAGAGGATTGAAGAAGTCAGTTGGACCAGGGTTCAGATTTCGACTCTCTCCCTTACTTTGTAACCTAGAGTATTTTATTTGGCTCTAGCCTCTACTTCTTCTATAACATAGGACTAAGAATTCTTGTGTAAGAGTCTGGGTTATTGTGAAGATTAAATGAGGTACTGAAGGACCCAATACAGTGTCAGCACATTGTAGCTGCTTGTTTGAGTGGCGATAGTAATACTCTTTCCAGTTCTTCCAGTATGATTCATTTTGATAAACTAAAACTCTTCATGAGAAATATCCCATTTGCTTTTTTAAAAAAAAAACGAACACATATAGCCAAGATTTTATTTAACTCATTAATTAATGAGGGAACCAATAGCATGTTAAAACCAATACAAAGGAAAATCTAGAGGACATGCAGGCAAGAAGGAATGCAAATAAATGCAAAACTGGCCACTTTCATGGCACCGTAACCGGTTGCGTCTTCACCTGACATGTATCCATTCTCACAGTGTTATAAAGAAATACCTGAGACTGGGTAATTTTTAAGAAAAGAGGCTTAATTGACTCACAGTTCTGCATGGCTGGGGAAACCTCAGGAAACTTACAACCATGGCAGAAGGCACCTCTTCACAGGGTGACAGGAGAGCGAGAATGAGTGCAAGCACGGGGAATTGCCAGACTCTTATAAAACCATCCGATCTCGTGAGACTCACCCACTACCACGAAACAGCTTAGGGGAACCGCCCCCATGATCCGATGACCTCCACCTGGTCCTGCCCTTGACACGTGGGGGTAATGGGGATTACAATTCAAAGTGAGATTTGGGTGGGGACACAGAGCTAAACCATATCAAGATGCATCATTCATTATTTTCTTTTTTTGTTAACAATTTTATTGAGAGATAATTCACATACCTGTTATAAATATATAGGCAATAATTTACCTGTTGTAATTGTACAATTCATTGGTTTTTTTTGTTTTATTGAGATGGAGTCTCGCTCTGTCGCCCAGGCTGGAGTGCAGTGGTGCGATCTCGGTTCACTGCAACCTCTGCCTCCTGGGTTCAAGGGATTCTCCTGCCTCAGCCTCCTGAGTAGCTGGGATTACAAGCGAGTGCCACCACGCCTGGCTAATTTTTGCATTTTTAGTAGAGACGGAGTTTCACCATATTGGTCAGGCTGGTCTTAAACTCCTGACCTTGTGATCTGCTCGCCTTGGCCTCCCATAGTGCTGGGATTACCGGCGTGAGCCACCGCGCCCGGCCAATTCAATGGTTTTTAATGTATTTACAAAGCAGTGCAACCATCACCACAATCAATTTTGAATCTTTTCATGATGCCAAAAAAAACTCTGTGTCTTTTAACCGTAACTCTTAACCTCCCACTTCTACCCCCCATGCCCAGCCATAGTCAGCCCTAGTCTGTTTCCTGTTTCTACAGATTTTCCCTCATAGACATTACATATAAATGGAATCATACAATCTGTAGTCTTTTGTGGCTGGCTTCTTTCACTTGACGTACTGTTTTCAAGGTTCGTTCTTGTTGGATCATGTATCAGTGCTTCATTTCTTTTTATATTTGAGTAATATTCCACTGTGTGGCTCATTTTAAAATACTGACTGTGCATTTAGTGTGCTTTCATGAGAAGCAAAATATGGAGACCTCTGAGATCTAATAGGTTAGAGCTTTCAGTTTCTCTCCAACAGAGCAGATTCCTGATACAAATATCAGTTTCTGCATCCAAGCCATGAGGCTCAGTACTTTTGTCTTCCGGCTCTTTTTTTGAAATTTATATTTGCTTTCATACAGCTTAGCACAACCTGGCTAAAAGTAAATCCCACTCAGGCCATTGGCCAGTTTTCCATGGTGGCAAGCACAGTGGACTCTTCTGGAACTGCATGTCTGGAAAAACAACATAAAACAAAGGAGTCTCTAGAGAACATCAGCCAAATATTATAATTTGATACGGTGACCTGAGGTCTGATCTGGGGGCATGTACTTAGAAATATCAAAAGAAAGTAGGCAGCTTCACCTCCTCTTACCCTCCCAGCTGTTCTCAGAAAGCTGTGGATGAGTTAAGTTTGCCTCCCCACCTTCCCGCTCACCCGTCGTCTGCCCTTTTACCTGCTAGCACTTGGTGTCCTTCAGGGTTGTTGCCACTCCTTCCAATGAGGGAACATCTGACCAAACTACTGAATTACTAAGAAATTGCTGATTCTGCAGGAACTTTATATTTCCAGAGAGGAGGCCAAGGAAAGGCCCATGTGATTTGTAGACAGAATCTGTAATAGTGGGGGCTCCCTGAAGCCTTTTCCTTCAAACTAAGTACATAATCTTCTTTTTCTTTTTTTTTTTTTGGAGACAGAGACTCACTGTATTGCCCAGCCCAGGCTGGAGTCCAGTGGCATGATTTCGGCTCACCACAACCGCTGCCTCCAGGTTCAAGTGATTCTCCTGCCTCAGGCTCCTGAGTAGCTGGAATTACAGGCACCCACCATCACGCCCTGCTAATTTTTGTATTTTTAGTAGACATGGGGTTTTACCATGTTGGCCAGGCTGGTCTCGAACTCCAGACCTCAAGTGATCCACCCGCCTCAGCCTCCCAAAGTGCTGGGATTACAGGTGTGAGCCACTGTGCCCAGCCCCAAGTGCATAATCTTAGTTCAGACACAACTGAGATCAGAATTCTGCCTGCTCCTTTTATTTAATTAATTAATTAATTAATTTGAGACAGAGTCTCGCTCTGTCGCCCAGGCTGGAGTGCAGTGGCGCGATCTCAGCTCACTGCAAGCTCTGCCTCCCAGGTTCACGCCATTCTCCTGCCTCAGCCTCCCGAGTAGCTGGGAGCACAGGTGCCCGCCACCACGCCCGGCTACTTTTTTGTATTTTTAGTAGAGACGGGGTTTCACCATGTTAGCCAGGATGGTCTCCATCTCCTGACCTCGTGATCCACCCGCCTTGGCCTCCCAAAGTGTTGGGATTACAGGCGTGAGCCACCATGCTCGGCCTGCTTGCTCCTTTTAATCCATCTATCCATCCATCCATCCATCCATCCATCCATCCATCCATCCATCCATCCAATAAACATTTATTCAATACCAGTTTGGTCAGTCTTTAAGCCTAGTGCTAGGTAGAAGGGAGCAATTTGGGCTGAAAACTTTTTCACAAATTGTGTTAAAATTATGTATTTGCCTCTTGTGGTAGGGTTTGAACTTCCTCTTCGTTAAGGACAAGGACTATATTCATTCCTGTGAATATATAGATGATGATTACCTAATATGCTTGATCATAGAGATACTTAAATAAATGACCGCATATATGTTCAGCAGTCAGCCTAGTGCTCATCTGTTGGTGGTGTGGATGAGGAACCAGGGATCTCTCCAAGTGGTAATAGTAGACTACGGAACCCAAGCTGACCACAGTCTGTTAGCACACTTTATTACACCTGCTGGAGCTAAATGAAAAGGAATACAGTTCAATGATGGCCCTTCACAATGACCATTGCTTGCTTTTGTCCTGTGAAAGTCAACTTCTTCCCTCTGAAAGCTGCTTGATTCCTAAATTGACCCTGGAGAGGAAAGCAGTAGCTCTGGAAAAGTCACAGTGACACTTCCTAGTAATAGGATGCTTTGGAGAGCTAAGAATCAGTACAGCAATGCAGGAGAAAGAGGTGACATGTTCCCCAAAAAGCAGTTTGAGGAAGTAATTATGTGCATCAAAGTTACAGAGAACTATCCATGCCATTTTAACATGGATCAACTTTATTTAGAAATAGTTTACATATGATAAAAAGAATCATTTTAAATGTACCTGGTGAGTTTCATGACATGTACTCACTCCTGTGAATAGCTGCCGCCATGCCCAAAAAACTCGCTTGTGATTTTGTTGTAGGCAATTTCCTCTCACCTCCCACCCTACTAGCACTGATCTGTTCTCAGTCACTATCAGTGTTTTGTCCTTTCTAGAATTTCACATAAATTGACTCATAAAGCATGCCCTTTTTTGGGTCGGTTGCTTTAGCTCAGCACGTTTTTGAAATCGGCCCATGTTACTGTGTGTGTCAGTAGCATGTTCGTTTCTATTGCTGAACGGAATCTCATTTTATGAATGTTTCACTATTTGTGATACATCCTATTTGTGATCCACTCACTTGTTGGTGAACATTGGAATGTTCCCAGTTACCAGCTATAACAAATATGGCTTCTATAAGCATTGTGTACAGGTGTTTTTGTGGACATATGATTTTATTTCACTTGGGTAAAATACCTAGGAGTGGAATGGCTGGGTTGTGTGGTAGGTGTACATTAATAAGGAATTTCTAGTTTTCCAAAGTGGTTGTACCATTTTTTTCTTTGTGCCTTTTTGAAAATGCTGTTCATATTATGAAGTCTTATAGGGCAATTAAAATTTAGGGTAAATTGATTTTTTTTTTTCTCTCGAAGGGAAGACTCTGGGCTATAAACATAGACAGACTGGTAACAGGAAGCAGACGTGGCAAAGTTCACAGATCCTCCATATGCTGGACATGATGGTCTTTGCCAAACAGCTGAAAGTCTTGGCCATGAAATGCTGCTTTTCATCACCGAGTAGACACTATGGAAAAGCAAGTGAGAAGCCAGAGCTCCAGAGACTTGGGTGCAAACATTACCACGGAAATAGCACAGAGACTTTGTGTGTTTATTTCGTTTCAAATTTGATGGAAATTTTTCTCATTCAAGAAAAATCCAACTGTCACTACCCTTGCTCATTATTGCAAATTGGCATAGGAGCCCCCTACACTTTTTATTGTTTTATCTCTAAGTGTCAGGTTAAGACCATGCTGCTTTCTGCCTTGCTACACTCCAGCCACTGTTTGTCCTGAGAAATTTCCATGGTCATGCTCTGTTAGTCCAAGGGGTGGTTTTTTACTCCATTTTATTTGGCCTTGCTCAGAGACAAGTGTTGTAACAAATACCTTGGGAGGCAGCTCACTGGTCACGTAGCTCTGATGTGGAGTCACCAGAGTTTCTATTGGCAGCCCTGGGTTTCACCTCTTTAAAACAAGTGGAGAGTACAGTCAGCTCATAAACCGACGTGGTTCTTCATAGCATTCTTCCTGAAGCACCCAACATCCAGCTTTCAAGGAGACAGTTCATTATCTCTTTCAAAGAATCTGTTTCACATAACAAAGACATTCTTAGCATTTGGTCATTGCTTGTCATCAGTAGAGAAGCTTACTAGGAGAAATGTCAGGATCCCCAGCTCTAGAAGTTCTACTCAAAAGCAGAGGAAGGGCCTGGTGACCTCTTCGGGTCTGTGGTCACGAGACAAAGCTGTAAAGGGTGAATACAAGTCACTTGGTTTGTCTAGGCTCTACCAGTTGTTTGCTGGGTGACAGCCCGTGGAGAATGGTTATAAACAGTTTGGATTTCCAAGTCAAATACGTGTTGATCAAATCCCAACTGGGCTGCTGCCTCAGTTCCTTCATCTCTAATGCAGGAGTAACAGCTTATTAATGAGGTGTGAGCATTAAAAGGGACAGTGCAGGTAAAGCATTTATTATACTGCCTAGAAAAAACAGCCCCTCACTCCTTGTTATATTTGTTTCAATTACTCTAAATATGACGTTGCTGAACTAGTGTTGAGCATTTCTAGAGCTAATGTACTATGCTTCAAAATTTAAATAATTTTTCATCCTTCAGTTCAAGGTTAGACCTCACAGTAGCAGTAGTAAGTTATAGTGGTCATAATAACTCTAAAATATTTTAATTAACAAAATCTACAAAATGTTTGTTGTACATTGCAGGATGCACAAGAGTTAAAGACAACTAAATATTCAACAAGAATCTGTTCCAGGTGGTGAGGTGTTAGAGACAGAATGTGGCTGACGGGGAACTTTTCCTTATGGTCAAGATTCAGGAAAAGCAGCAACAAACGTAATAGTGAAATAGCAAAAGAATGAACATAACCAATTCCATTTCCATTTAAGAGGCTTTGAGCCATTTCTGTACGTAGGCTAGGATGCTTTTAGAGCACTGGGGTAAAACACAAAAACAGCAACCATGTAGTTTTTGAAACTAACTGTGATGAAAGCATGTAAACAACTGTGTCGTGTTAAAGACTTACAGGAAGAAGCAGGCTTGACTACTGTCACATGAGAGACCATCACTCAAAGACAAAGACGCTTCATAAACCTCCCCCAAACCCTTGCTGGCAGCCAGATGCCTGTGGTTGTTGGCTCCCTGCCTGTCCCCCTTACCTAAACATAGAAGACAAAAAAAAAAAAAAAAAAAAGGCTGCATTTGTCTCCTACGTGTAGAGATCCCATTCTACCTCACCTTAGAGTGAATTGTTTACACAGCCATCTCCCAATAGACTGTTTCTTGAAAGTAAGTACGTACATCTCAATTGATGCTGATTCAATTAAATACATTTTTATTTTGGTTTCTAAGAACTTTCTGTATTATGCAAACACAAAGGGGTTATGCAAACACAATGAAAAGGAAGATTTGAAATGACAAAGAATCAGAAAAAGCTTTTTGAAGGAGAACATTTCATAAAGTCATAGACAACTTAGACTAAAAGGGACTTGGATAATGACACTAGTGTCCTAAGTTTGCAGATGGGAGGACGGAACACACTGATAGCTAGGAGGGAGCGGGTCTGGATCTCAAACTTCCAAGTTTGGTTTCCTTTCCAAGTTAGAATCCTTTCAGGCAGAGATGTGGCAAGCAAATCCAAGGAGAGATGAAGGAGACAAAACGGCACAGATGTTTCAAAGCAAAGGGACTATCCAGGAAATGAAGATTACTTTAGTTACCAGGGAAGAAACGTGTATATGTCATGGGGGAAGGGAAGAGAAAATGCACGCATGTGGCACAGCCCTTTGTGGTGCGGTCAAGTGGAGGAAGCTTTATGAAGAGGTTGGTGGGACCTTGAAGCAGGAAGGAAGGGGAGGAAGACGCAGGGTACAGAAGGATGAAAAGCTCATGGTGGTCAAGAAACTTGTAAATGGTGGTAGATACTATAATGGGACACATAGATACGCACGTAAGAAAAGGGCCAGAACACACAAAGTCTCAAAAGGTTAAGCTGTGAAACTTATAATTTTGAATAATAATAATGAGACATTCAAGATTCTTGAGCTTGATAGGATAAAAAAAAAACAGTATAAATTGACAGTTATTGAATTTAAGATGACAAAAGTATTTTAAATTTCTACTTTATTCCCCAAATACATCACTGTCATAAAGCTTTCTGATGATCTAAAGCTGGTTAAAAATAAAGACCTTGTACATGCACATTACTTTAGGACATGAAGCTAAGTGAATTATATTGATCAGAATCTGCTAAGAAAATTTTTTTCTTTAAATAGTCAAACTAATAAGAGATTTCACAGTAACCACATATTAATAGAACTGGAGGATTCTTTCTTTTGCTAAGCCTTGGGAAATGGTTTATAATCATTTGATAAGTTGATGAAGTATTAGCAAGCAAGATGGTAAAAGAAATAAAATATACAATCATTGTATAAAGTTCCAGAAACACTTTATTTAAAAATGGAGTTGTAAATGCATAACAAAATAACATAAGTAATAAATGTAACAAAAATAAATAAGGAGGATAATGTATTCATACAAAATAAAAATAACATAGTAAAAGGCCAAATGTTTATAATTGAACCAAACTGTGTAAACACTTAAACAAGAATGTAAGCAGAGTAGATTCTAGTATTTTCCTAAACTCCTTACCTTCTACTTCCATGTGGATATAATCAGTACCCAAATATTAAATAAAAGAGGGAGCAATGCTGATTATTTTGTCCAACTTTTTCTTCAAATGGATTGACCCTGTTTTAACATTTCGTTTATTCCTTCAAAGCATTTGTATCTTTCCATTTATGTTCTTTAAAACCTTTTTTCAGTCTTCCTTTATTAGACAGAATGGGGAATTTAGCTTTACAAGGAGAATAGTTCATTTACCTTTTTTTTTTTGTATTTAAAGAAAAATAGGAGATCCATTATAGTTTTGTTTTTACATCTCTATAAAGTTTTTTTGCATCTTTATTAATTGATCCAACAATACAGGATTTAAAAAATCCTGTAAAGTCTTGAAGTGTATAGAGTTACTTTGTTTCTTAAAACAAATATAGCACAGGATTATTGTGGAAATATTAAAGACCATTTCATAAAAGTTGCAGTTTAACCTTTATAGACTGATGGGGTCAAGGGGGAAAATCCAGGTCTACTAATAATATTTAACTGAATTAAGATACACCCCAATTATAGTGTTCTGGAAACACAAAGGTAATTACTTTTCTTTTTAAAATTATCCAAATGTGAACTTACTGGAAAGAGAAAAAACAAGTTTAAAGAAGAAATTTTTCATAGGCTTCTTGTTTAGTAGCACAGGCCAAAGGCCTTTGTCGTCGTCTTGCAGGGTCCTTATAAATGTGTAAGACAGACAGCATTTACTATTGAGTCCTACAGGGAAACACACAGAAGCAATTCATTGCTTGGGAGTGAAACTATCAACTAATCTTACGACTACTGGTTCTCCAAGTCCCCTAATGAAGAAAATTTTAACCTCATGATCATTTCAAGGGAATTTCTTTTTCAACTGTCACATATAAACTTGGTAACACAGGACCAATATACATGTTCTGAGTTTTAAAAATATACTCCACCTAAACTATCTGTCTAGTTTAATCTTTCTAGTTATCATTTAACCTAAAATGAGAGACCAAATCTTATTTCCATTAAAAAAAATGAAAAAAAGTGCCAAATTGATCTTTTTGAAAGTGGAGTAAAACACTGTGGGCTTAAAACAAATACAGTATTATCAATCTCCTATGTACAAAAAAGACGGTTAGTCCTTATTGATATATAGATATGTCCACCTACCACTCCCAGCAAATCTTAGTGCAAACATAATAGTTAATTTCCGTAAACCCCAAGACAATTTACGTATCAACAAAGTTATATAAATCACATCTATGTTGGAAAATTTTAGGACACAGAGTGACTGTTGTGAAAGGTCTGCTTTACTGTGGAGAGTACTTATGTCATTGTGTCCAATGGTAATGAGTACTAATATAAATCCTATTATTAAGAAGCAAATAGAATGGTTTAACAAATCTGTACAGATGAAGAAGTCCATTTCAGGGAGCAGCTTGGCACAGGAGACTTAGGGGTTCAGAAATGTTGGCTATTTAGTTTGCTTGTAGGTCACAGCATGGCTTAAAAAAAAGAAAAAAGATCTATGAAGGGAAAGGGTGTAATCATTAAATTCAATTTGAAAATCATAAAACCACAAAAGGCGACACTGCCACAATCTGCTTTTTCCTATTTGTGCATCAAGTGGTTATCTAAATAGTTTGAAAGGATTGATATACTACATTATACGTCAAAAATAAATAAATAAAATTAAGAAGACAGGGATTCCAAGATTGTAGCTGACCAAGCTGTCTTGTTTTGCGTACATCAACACTATGCTGCTTCCAATATTCCTAGCCATTCCACAGGTAATGATTTTTCAACAATCAAGAGAAAGTCATTCTTGTACTGTAACATCTTCCTCTTCCCCATCGGGGTTGAATCTATTGAAATGTATACTGAAATCAGCCTCAGATTCAGCATTCTCAAATTCAGCTGCGGCTGAAACAGCAGCAGGATGAAGAGCCCTAGCTTCTGGTTGGCCAAGTGTTGGTGTCTGACCCGGGCTGTGGTGGTTATTCACAGGGCTGGACTTCTGTTTCGGTGGAGATGGCAACATAGCACTGGGAAATCCCATGTTGTTCAGAGCCTCCAAAGTTCCATCAGGATCAATCATAGCATTGATTGCTAAAGGGCGGGAAAAGGAAATAATTTTAGATGCAGTTACATTCACATATAAACACTGTTCATGATTTGGATAATATTTAAACTATCAGTGCGTATGTGATCTTAAATGTGGCTAATCTTCCAATATTATATTTAAAACTCCATTCTTAGTTATTCTGTAGCTGTACTGTAAATCACCCAGCCCTGAATACTTTCTCTGGGTCCTTTGATGTGGCACTTACGGGCATTTCAGAGACTTGTAAGTCTGGTATTTGAAGATGTGGAATTCAAGAAAAATCTTGTTGAAATTTGTCTTCATTATTGTGAGAGGACCGAGAAAATACTGAATATGATTTTTAATAAACATCTAAACCCACATCACTCAGATAACTGAGGTATTAGCTGCTAAGTCAGGGTTCAGAGTAACCTCAAGGCTGGAGAGGCCAGAAGAACATCAGCATACTTTGAATGCTACCATAGAATACGGTCATTTAGCCTGGCCAGAGTGCTAGGGTTATCAGCTGTATACACCACTGAGATACAGGGGTTCCCTCAGAGCCTACAGACTAATATCACAGGGCAGCTTGCAAAGCCAAACAGACTTGCTGCCTATATGGAAGGGGTCAGTTAAAGGTCAGCTTTCAGTCCAAAAGATCTTTGGGTTGACATGGAAAGTTCTCAGGCGGTGATTTTCAATTTGGCATTGGGCAGAGTAGGGAGTTGGGAGAAGGAAGTAACATAGATGTAAGAATCATGTAGAAGGGACTTTTAAAAGTATACCCCCAGTCTACCAGCTAACAAGCACTGTGTTAGCAAGCCACTTTTACTCATGGGGTGTACCATAACCCTTAGGTGTGTTGGGGCTAAATAAAGATGAAAAATCATTTTGATAGGATCCACATAAGTACCTATGATTATTCGATAGATAAAGACTCAGTAGAATTAGCAGTTGACTATGGAACCTGCCTGTTGTACCACTGGGGACTTCTGGGTCAAGACATACATAGGCATTAATGCACAGCCCAGCTCTGACAAGTTTAGAGGGCAGCCTCTTTCACTTTCTTCTCTCCTTTCTCTTCTGGTCTCTATGGCCAATATGTACTCATTTCTTGTCAACCAAACAACTATTATTTCTATTAGAATGTAAGTTTGTTTCAGGTTACACCACCAACATAATTTAAGAACTGTCAAATCACACAAATAATGCTAATTAACACAACTTTATTATATATTTTTCACATATTATTTATATGTAATACATAAAAAATTTCAATTAGTTTATGACATCTAGCCTACTGTCAAACCTATGAACTAAAATATGCCCAACATATATCTTTATTACATTTTAAATTTTTATACTGGGTTTAAAAAAATTCCTTTTTATGAATAATGTGAATGTTTGAACTCTGTATTTTATGTATGTCATTACATTTAATCAAATAACATCCTAACAATATTTTAAGAAATACCACTCAGAAGGCACTTATTCTAAATTATTAGCTCTTTATACTTAATTCAGTAGTAAATTTACCTTGCAGCTGCTTTTCTACTCTTTTCAGTTCCTGTAAGATAGAAGAAATCTCCTGCAGGGAAAGCAATAACAAAAATTAGCCTACTTTTAGCTAAATGTTATCACTTTACAAGCAATGAATTTCACTCTCACTTTATTTGGAACACTTAATATTATCTACATGGTACTTACTACATTAATAGCAACATGATATGAAATAATTATGATATCTAGCAAACAAGATTCAAATTAAAATATTTAAACTAAAATGAAATACAATAACTTTTTCAGTGAGATGATTGTAGCAGATGAAAAGTTTAACATTTACTACTATTTAAGCAAAGATTTTTTTTTTTTGAGACCGAGTCTCACTCTGTCGCCCAGACTGGAGTGCAATGGCGCAATCTTGGCTCACTGTAACCTCCTCCTCCCAGGTTCAAGTAATTCTCTTGCCTCAGCCCCCAAAGGAGTTGGGATGATAGGCGCCCGCCACAATGCCTGGCTAATTTTTGTATTTTTAGTAAAGACAGAGTTTCGCCATATTGGCCAGGCTGGTCTTCAACTCCTGACCTCAAGTGATCCGCCCTCCTTGGCCTCACAAAGTGCTGGGATTATAGGCGTGAGCCACAGTACCCGGCCGCAAAGATTTTTAAAATTCTTATTAATCAACCTTGCAATAACTATGTAAAAATGCCTTCAAATTATCTTTGTAAAAACATATAAACTGCAACCTCAATATTATAATTATATTCTGAGCAATGAAAATCTGTACAAATTCTTTTAAAAAGAAGATAAGCATTATATTAAGTAAACGGAAACGACTTATGTCAACTTAATATTTTCATGTTAGATTTGGTTCTCTTTAAAAATTTCATGTTTCTAATGTTTAATTATTACAAGAACAATCTATACTAGTAAGAAACACAAAAGGCTCCTCCTTCATACCCTCTGCAACTTTGAAACAATCAACATTTTAAACCTGTGAGTCAGTAGAAGAAATAAAATTTCCCAAAATTTTGCATTTATATCTTCTTTTGAAAAAGCAAATCAACGAACAGCTCAAAAATAAGGGTCTTTTCCTTAAAATAAAACTCTATTAAAATGTTTTAATCTTCAAGAAAAATTACTATACCATGCTTGAGGTTTTCACAATAGGGACTTCACTTTCGGCTCTTAATTTGCTTTCTATGTCATCCCAATTCCGATCTTTGTCTTTAAATAATATTCTATAAATCAAAAAACATAAGCATATAACTTTTTATATTTTAAAAACCTATTACTTTTTTGTTAATAATACCAAAGCAATGTATCTTTTCAAAGGTACACAAAGAAAAAAAACCAACCACCGCATAAACTGAGAATTAAAATACTAAGCCAACAGTACCAATTAATTCATGTGTATGAGCTCCAATTGAATGCTTATTAATACATGCATAAATTCTTTACTGTTTATCTTATTCTTTATTGAAAACAAAATATAAAACAAATGTAAATGATGTTATGACCTCAAAACTTTAATATTTATAATTTACAATACAGTAATGCCCTCTTATCCACAGTTTCTCTTTCCATGGTTTTAGTTAGTGGCAGTCAAGCATGGTCCGTAACTATTACAGTATTTTGGGAGAGGGAGAGAGAGAGAGAGAAAAAAAAAGACCACATTCACATAACTTTTTTTTACAGTATATTGTTACAAATGTTCTATTTTATTATTAGTTACTATTGTTAATCTCTTACTGTGCCTAATTTATAAATTAAACTTTATCATAGGCATGTATGTGTAGGAAAATACACAGTATATTAGGTTTTAGAATTATCTGTGGTGTCAGGCATCCAGTGGGTATCTTGGAACAACATGTATCACCTGGGTATAAGGAGAAAAGACTGTGTAACTGTCACTTATAAAGAAAATGCAATTTTATTCAGACAGAATATATGCAGTATAGGAATAAGTGAGATGAAAATAGGTTGAATTAGGTATAAACAATTGTGTCTGTTAAGACCTCTTTATATGGGAATAAGCACCTTATCGATCAAGAAAAGTGTGTATATTATTTTGAAGACAAAAAATTGGGAGTACTTACTGTGCTTTTCTTTAACAATTGTTAATTCGTGTTAGTATACTTGCACATAATAACCTATTAGGAATTAGGATGCTACCCTTTTGATAAAAACAATTGCCAATAAAGATAATTATCCTATCATTACCCTAACATCAAATAACTTATAAAATAAAGGACCACAAAATTTTGACGTGTCTTTCAAATGTGGGACACTTTTCTAACACTTTAGAGTCTATCAGACATGATTCAGCAGTCTTAGATGTAAATACTAGCTACTTTTTTGGTTTCTTTTAAATTTTTTTCAGTAAGCCTGGAAATCTAGTTTAAACAACACTATATAACCTCATGTAAATGTATTACTACTGCAAGCTGATCAGCATTTAAGTAGTAAACTAAGTTAATATTTGTGCTGGTATTTCTTCAAAGATCAACATGCCAGACTTACCTTATTTAAAAACATGAAACTCATTAACATCACATCAAGTCTGGAACATTTGCTTAAGGTGGCAACGGGTCTAGAATCTGGTATAAGAATATTCTTATGGCCTACTTATTAAATTTTCTAAACTCAAAAAAATGAACACCCTTGCCAGCCATCTTTTCTAAATTATTATGTTCTTGTAAAAGAGTCCTTGCAGCATTAGGACTGATGGAAAATAAGGAAATAATGACTATTTCATGGACCAGCTTAGAACTGTAATGGACTTATACAATAGAGAAAGACTCTGTTTAGCCACACAGTGCTAAAAATTCAGTGAATTTTTCCAGAGGATGGCTACTGAGTATAGTGTTTGTGGATCTAAAACTGTTAAACCATAGACATTTCACCTTTGGTGAAAATGGGTTTTTCACGGGTTGCCCCTGAAAAAAAAATGCCCCCCTGAAGAAATAAATGGTTTATTTTAAAATACAGTTTGTTGGCCAGGCACAATAGCTCATGCCTGTAATCCTAGCACTTTAGGAAGCCAAGGTGGGTGGATCACTTGATGCCAGGAGATCGAGACCAGCCTGGGCAACATGGCGAGACCTCGTCTCTATAAAAAATACAAAAAAATTAGCAGGTGTGGTGCAGATGCCTGTAGTCCTAGCTACTAAGAAGGCTGAGGTGGGAGGATTGCTTGTGCCCAGGGAGGTCGAGGCTGCACTGAGTGAGTGAGTTGTGAACATGCCACTGCACTCCAGCCCATCTCAAAAACAAAAAACAAAAAACAAAAAAACAAAAAAACAAAAAACAATTTGTAATATATAATAGAACAGATCTAAGAAGTCAAACTTGTCATTTTGGCATTATGAAATAAACTTTACTATAATATTTACTATAATATTTAATATTTAAATACTAGAGAATCAGAAAACCAGACCAAGAAATTAGTTTAGACCAGGCTATAATGACCAGAACTTGTTTTTGTTTGAAGGTCCTTATCAATTTTAAGCTGAAAAAATCATAGCTTTCAAAGTGATATTCAGATTATATTATAGATTCAAAATAAGCTAAACTTCAGCATGAAAATACATAAAATTCCAAAGCTTATTTCATTCAATAATTTAAGAATTAAGTTAAAATACTTTTGATAAAGCCATTGGTTTTAGGGAAACAAACAGAAGTCTCAGGCTCCTATTCTATGAGCCATAACCAATTCCCTAGTACTAGCCCTTAAAACATGCGAACGCGGAGTTGCGAATTGAGAGTCTACCAATGCAAGGCCATGCTACACAACCTAAGGGGGTCATTTTCACATGGAATGCAATGAGAATGCTGTACAACAGGAGTTCCTGTATAAATATTTAAAAATGGATTCCACAGACAGTGTTCATACAATGTAAGTACGCATGCCTCTAGGATGAACCCCAGTAGACATTTGAGGTTATAACTCCTGACACAAAGCTTAAAGACCAGTTGATTCTCAAACTACCCTGGCACTTTCCACGCAGAAGGCCCAGGTCTCTACCCCTTAGGTTTGGTTATCACAACTCAGACCTACCTTTGAATAGTATCTTCTTCCCAAAGCCTTCCCTAAACCTCCTAGGTGAAAGTGATCCTTCCTTTGCCTTTATATCTCTAACTGAGCACTAATCTATTATACGCTATCTTGTACGACAGTTGATTGCATATGTGCCTCACCTTGCCAACTACACTGGAAACTCTTTAATAATAGAAATGGTTTTATCCTCATTACCTTCCATAAAGCCTGCCATAGTGCTTTATGCATAGTAAAACTCAACACTCGAACTGAAGGCAATTCAAATACATTAAACATTCTGTATTTATGTATAACTTTATTGAGGCATTTTTATGCATCCTTTTTTAAACTTTATAAATTCTGTCACTTTCTGAGACAACACAGGTTATCAATCCATCAGCAATGTCTTCTTTGTTCTCAATTTTAGTTCAATGTCAAAGCTACAAAAAATATTTTTCTTTGGGGGAGACTACAGAACGTAGGAAAGCTGCTCCGTGGTAAGGAAGAGAATGGTACACAGCAGGTAATCTGTGAACATCTGCTGAATAAATGAATGAGTGGTTAAGACTCCAGTTAGCAGGGACGGACCTGTATTTCAGTAGGTAGGATGAAAAAACACTGTGTACTTGTTTACAGGTAAGGAGACTCCAGGGTTTTCCAGGTGCAAGCCACATGACCATACAAGACTCTCATGATATTTTTACAGATAGCACTGGTGTATCAAGAGGACCCATATTGGATATATTAGCTTCCTATGGTTTTTAATAATAAAATCCAAACTCCTTAACAAATTCTGCCAAAACAGATCCATCCTCATCTCTCTAGTGTCATCTCTCACCATACTCTGGCCCTTTCACTTCACATAGCTTTTGAGTAACTCCTCTCCTCATCATTCAGGACTTAAATTGCATGGCAATTTCTCTAAGAGCCCTTCTCTGAATTTCCCAAGTGCCCTTGCTATGGGCTTCCATAGTAACCATCCTATATTTCCCTTAACACACTGAACTATAATTAACTGTTTACCTGCCTTCTACACTCAAATGTGAGGACATCAAAAACAGTGCTAGACAAATAACATACAGTCAAAAATCATTCAATGAATGAATGAGTCTGGAGACTTTATTCCCATATAAGATGATCTTAACCAATGTTTATTTCATTTATTTATTTCTTTGGTTAATAATCCTTCCATAATGCCCCAGCTTTAGAAAATAATTTTAGTGGAACTAAAATAAAAATGATAACAATTATATATTACATTTAACTACAATGAATGCTTGAGCCAAATCATGATATTAATAAGCAGCTGTGTGATTGAGGCCTATAGATTTGTTTATTCATGTGTAAAAACTAGTAAGTTAAGCTTAAAATTTTTTTCCCTACAAATTTCAGTTAGGCTTTACCCCAGGGAATGGTGGACTTCATTTGTCTCTGGCCATAGGATATATTAGCAAATCATAGGTGAATGGGTTGTACGGTGAAGGGGATTCTCTTACTTGTGAAAGAAGTAAACCTAGGAATGATGGAGTCACTAGGGGAAAACATGTACTATATCTCACGTAAGACAATAACAGGGTGCTAATTACTTAATCACTGAGTGTGAGTAAAAGAAAAACAATGGACTCATTTATAAGCCCTATCAGGATTTATAAAATGTGGTATTTATAAACAGCATTCAACTAATTTAATTTCTCTAAAATCAATTATAAGCCTTAAAATTTTTTAGTTAATAAGGTTCCAATTTATACCTGAAATTAATATTGTTATTATACTTTTTATCTCATCAGTGTAACCAGTGATTTTAATAATAAGAAAAAGTTGATGCAGGTTATTGGGCTTCAAGTGGAAATAGAAAATGTGGGTAGTAAAATACAGGTAATATTCAAGTGAAATAATGAAATTAAGTCAAATCATGTGTAGATAGCAGAAATAGCTAACTTAATACAAGCTGACTGGTTTACATGATATAGAATGTAAATTTCATGAGAACAGGGGTCTTTGTTTTGTCAATGTCTAATTATAAAGTACCTAGAATGTACCTAATACTTATTTGTTAAGTAAATATTAAAATATTATTCTGTAGAAAATTAAGTCTATTTAAAATTCATAAGAATATATGGGAATTGATAAAGGTAAATTCCCTTTAAAAAAACAATGGATAGGTACGTAATGGTAGTCATTAAAAACACCTTCAACATTATTTATATGTACAAGGTACTCTTTACGAAAAGCCAAACGTTTTAAACATTCTATTGCTGTTTTTTGAGATAGGATCTTGCTCTGTTGCCCAGGCTGTGGTGCAGTGCCATGATCATGGCTCACTGTAACTCTGAACTCATGAGCTCCAGTGATCCTCCGATTTCAGCCTCTCAAATAACTGGGACTATAGGCATGTGCCACCATGCCCAGCCAATTTTTTTTTTTTTTTTTTTTAATCTCGCTTTGTGGCTCAGGCTGGTCTTCAAGTCCTAGGCTCAAATGATCCGCCTGCCTTGGCCTCCCAAAGTGCTAGGATTACCAGGCATGAGCCACTGCACCCAGACTCAGCTATTTTTTCACTAAGGCAGCATGCCTCATATGCCAATCAAATATGGAGGGGTCTGTCAATACATTTCACTCATACTCTTTGGGGAAAGTAAAGATCTAATTAAGAGAAAAGATCAAGGTACAAAAGTAGATAAAATATGATCAAGTTTGTATAGACGGTTGAGAAATGAACCCAGAGTGGGGAAACACACCCACTATTAGATATAATAAATATTTTTCTGGAATATTCATATTTTTTAACCATGTTGATGTATTACTTTTGCTAAAAAGCTACACATTTTAAAATAAATAGAAAAATGGGACAAGACGGTGCAGAATACATTACTTTTAACATAAGGAATTTTAAATTAATATTCTTTTAGGAGGCAATAAAGTGAAGAGAAAGTCTGGTACACCTTCAAGAAATTATTATTTATTTATTTATTTGAGACAGAGTCTCACTCTGTTGCCCAGGCTGGAGTGCAGTGGTGCGATCTCGGCTCACTGGAAGCTCTGCCTCCCGGGTTCACGCCATTCTCCTGCCTCAGCCTCCCGAGTAACTGGGACTACAGGCGCCCGCCACCACGCCCGGCTAATTTTTTTGAATTTTAATAGAGACAGGGTTTCACCGTGTTAGCCAGGATGATCTTGATCTCCTGACCTCATGATCCGCCTGCCTCGGCCTCCCAAAGTGCTGGGATTACAGGCATGAGCCACCATGCCCGGCCACCTTTAAGAAATTTTTAAGATACAGGCTCAAGATAAAAAGAAAGCTCTTTCTGTTTCTTAACATGCCAAGTAAAATTTACCTATATAGGCCAACTTTCTACATTTCCTTCTGAATTTCTCAATTTTTCTAGAAGATGATGCGAACTTCGTTTACAGTAACTTAAAACAGATTATTTTAAGTTAAATAGACTGTTTTTAAGAATACTTTAATTTTCAAATGGTGCTTTTCAAATTGTTTTTGAAAAAATTTAATGGCTTCTTGGTACTCATCAAATGCTGATAAAATATATTATTTCAATATATAAGCAATATAGAATTATATTTGTGTGGAATATTACAATTCACAAACCATGTTCAAATACTGTTTCATTACATTTTAAATTTTAATTATAGGAATCAGAAATAAGCAATAGCAGCATGGATTTCTGAAGTACTGTTGAATAAAATCTGTAAGTCTATTTATGTTTTGAATTACTAATAAATTTAAAGTTATAAAGTAGTACTGGATAGATATTTACTTTGGGACAAATTTTTCCAAAGGTAAACATATTCATTCTGATGATACATTTTTAACCTTGAGAAAAAGCAAAAAGCAAAGTGAGGTGATATTAAAGTTAAAGCTATATGTACATGTACCTGATCTTTCCAGCTGTCTTATCTATAGATTGTCTTATCTTCTTAGAGAACTGAAAGACGGATGACAGCAGCAGATTATCTCCCATGACCTGAAACAGCCAAAGAAAAAAGTAGATATTAAAATATTACCCCTGTATTGTATAACTACTGAGATCACTAGTCACAAGTCACTATAGTTAGGGGCAGTTAGTATTTATGCTTATTTTAATTATAAACCAGTGAAGAATATAATTAATATGTAACTAAAATGAGAAAGTGAAAGAAACACTATTAACAAAGGAGTTCTTATTATTAAATAACTTGTCAAAGTTTCCGTATTATTTTGGTCATATCAGTTTCCAAACACAATCCATTTTATCCTCAGTTTATCTTCAATTAATATTGTGATCCTGTCTCTCTTACTTCCAACTGAATTATAAAAGAGAAGATACAAATAACTTAGAGTACTAAATTTATTATTTATTCTTTCACCAAGTAATGTGAATACAGAAATCAAGAAGAGTACAATCCTTGTTCTCCAGCAAAGAGTCTAGTGGGAAAGATACATTTTGAAAAATTTACGCAAAATAGTAAGTTTTTATACTGGGTGTTGGTATTACTCCAGTTGAGATGCGTGGGCAAAACCAGGGGTCACCAATCTCTGTAAAGAGCCAGAGGGTGAAGGTTTTGGTCTTTGAGGGACACAGGGTCTAAGTAATGTGAATACAGAAATCAAGAAGAGTACAATCCTTGTTCTTCAGCAAAGAGTCTAGTGGGAAACACACATTTTGAAAAATTTACACAAAATAGTAAGTTTTTGTACTGAGTGTTGGTATTACCCCAGTTGAGATGCATGGGCAAAACCAGGGGTCACCAACCTCTGTAAAGAGCCAGAGGGTGAAGGTTTTAGTCTTTGAGGGACATAGGGTCTCTGCCACAATTCCTCAACTCTGCCTTTGCAGAGTGAAAGCAGCCATAAATAATGAGCAAATTATGCATGTGGACATAGCCGTGTTGTAACAAAACTTTTACAAAACAAGTGACAGGTTGGATTTGGCCTATGGGCTGAAGTTTGCCAAGCCCTAGGCCAAATCATGAAAGGCAAAGCTAACGAAGCATGGTAGAAAAAGGTCAAAACTTGAGTCTAGCTGTGGGTTTCAAAATGAACTCCTTATATTGTCAGTACTATATCCAGAGCCTGAAAGAAAACAGAAAATAAGGCCCTAGAAGGCAAAAAGGTTTAAAGACCACTGGGAGAGGTGACGGTAATATACAGGGAATACGATTACATGTTTTATCATAAAGCCTAAGGCCTACAAAACAAGAGACGTTCACATAAATTTTGGGACTCAGTGCTGCAAGAATTCTAATGAGGCCGGGCGCAGTGGCTCACGCCTGTAATCCCAGCACTTTGGGAGGCTGGGGTGGGTGGATCACGAGGTCAGGAGATCGAGACCATCCTGGCCAACATGGTGAAACCCCATCTCTACTAAAAATACAAAAATTAGCGGGGCGTGCTGGTGCGTGCCTGTAGTCCCAGCTACTCGGGAGGCTAAGGCAGGGGAATTGCTTGAACCTGGGAGGCAGAGGTTGCAGTGGGCGGAGATAGCACCACTGCCCTCCGGCCTGGTGACAAAGCGAGACTCCCTCTCAAAATTAAAAAAAAAAAAAAAAAAGAATTCTAATGAAAGAGAGTTCATTGATGAGTGGCATAAATAAGGAAGTGATCATGGAAAAACGTGAACTAACTTCAGAATGACAAGGATTTGAATTTAGTGGGTAATAAAAGTTTATTTAGGTTGTGAAAAATAACATTGTCAAGGAAAGGATAAATAAGCAAAATGGTTTTTGTGGGCCTTAAGAAAACAATCAAATAAGGATGGAAGACATATACAAATTAGGAAGGCATGAGAAAGGGCAGGAGAGTCTAAGGAAACATTGCAACACAGAATAGGATATTTCTCTTTTCTTTGCTCATGAAGTTTAGTTTGTTGTCACAAAGTATTAAATAAATTCCTGATATCAACCTTGAGATAACTATCAATCTAGATGTTTCCATTCTCTTTAAAAACATACACTTCTTCCACATAGTTTTTTATTATGTTTGGAGAAATTTGTCTTCCTAGACATCGGGACAGAATGATTATGAGTAAGTTTAGAGAATAGGCTCTTTTCCTGATACCAAGAACAAATCAACTATTAGGCCAGGACAGATCAAGTATGCTGTAAAACGTTTTAGTATACTTCAGTTGTAACTTTCGGGCTAGTTGCATACTTTTCTACCAGGTAGATCTTTTTCTACTCAGTACCATGAGAAACATACATATTCTTACATAATAATCTCAAGATCTTATTCCTAAATCCAGGGATCCACAGATATTAATCTATGATCAATCTCTTCTGGTCAACTGTTTCTTTCTACATTATTCCTCTACCCAGCCCTTAAGCCTATACCACCTCTGTGTGTTGTTCATAAATCACCTCTTTCCACAGTAGTATTTGAAATAACCATTCTTTTATGAAGAAACTCCTTTATATCTTTGAGTTTTTTATTACTCTATTATTGTTCAATTTGGGAATATACCAGTTTATACATTCACTTTTCAGCTGATGTAAACAGTTTCCAAGTTTTTGATACTGTCAACAATGTTACTATAAATGTAACTTCTACTGTCAATGGGAAAGGGTTTTTCTTGTACATATACTAGCAAGAAAATTGCTAGATCATGTGATGTCTTTATTTTCAACTTTAGGAGATAGTGTCAAACTGTTTTCCAGAGCTGCGGCACCAACTTAACCTCCACCAACCACACATAAGAAAGCCTATGTAGCTACCTTTCCTCCAATACTTAACATTTTAAGACTTTAACATGTCAACAATTGAATGATTATAATCTCACTGTAGTCTTGACATGCGTTTCTCTGAATGCTTGTTAAGTTAAACTTCTCTTCATGTTTTGTAGGCCTTAAGTATTTTCTTTTTCTTTTTTTTTTTTTGGAGACAGAGTCTCACTCTGTCACCCAGGCTGGAGTGCAGTGGTGTGGGTTCAGCTCACTGCAACCTCTGCCTCCCGGGTTCAAGTGATTCTCCTGCCTCAGCCTCCTGAGTAGCTGGGATTACAGGCACATGCCACCACGCCCGGCTAATTTTCTTATTTGTAGTAGAGACGGAGTTTCACCATGTTGGCCAGGCTGGTCTGAAACTCCTGACCTCAGGTGATCTGCCCGCCTCGGTATTTTCTCTTTGGTGAAATGTTGTTCACGTCTTTGCAGATTTTTCTATTGTGTTTTTTAATTGATTGGAGGGAGTTTTTTATATATACTGTATACTAATCCTTCATAGGCTGTATGTTTTGCAAAAGTTTGTAACTTGTATTTCTACCTTCTTTATTTTTTAATAAAGAAAAAGTCCTTAATTTTAATATACTCAAATGTCTCAATTTTCTAAGGCCAAAAGTTTGTGTTTCTCTTAAGAAATCACTCCCTAGTACAATATTGAAAGATATTTGTCTGTATTTTTTAAGTAAAAGTTTTACAGTTTTTCATGCATTAAGAACTAAATTCATTTAGAGAATGAATTTAAGAACTAAATTCATATTCATGAACTTAAATGAGAAAAAACAATTACAGTATTATTTTCGCTAACCTCTAAGTGACATAATTATTTGTATATGATGTGATGTCATGGTGAAATTTCATTGCATTCATTAAGGAGAATCACTTTTTCCCCAGCCCTACTCACTGAATGGTTCCTCCTTTTCTTACTTATGGAATATGCTGCTTCTGCCACATGTTAAAATTTATAGTTTACTTACTTCATCCCTGCTCCAGGTTCTCCGCCTTGTAATTGTTAAGTGATCGGGAGGCTCTGCTGCTTGAGGTCTTGGATCACCAGATCGACCGTTGTTTCCTTCTGGTGTTTTGGAATGAACTAATGGAGGAATCTTTCGGAAGTTGAGGCTTTCATCAAAAACACGATCAACCAACTAATGGGACGAAAGCAAACCTTTATGAGAACACAGTAATTTGAAAAAGTACCAATATTGGCATTACAATTTTTATGATTAGACAGAAGTTATTCCATTCTCAAGTAGTAACAGAGGCACAACATCTTCAATAAACCAATTACTCTTTCTTTTTATAAGCACTTCAAATGTATTTCCTTTATAAAATCGAGATTCATCTACACAGGTTTTATTTTCAAAATCCAAAATATATAACTATGTTAAATTTAATTCTTCCATGGATAAGATTTTCTCCAAATGGAAAACAGATGGTAAATAGAAAAAAAGCTGAGCCATGTAGATGGACAATGAGTTCATTTTACTCACATTGCCTTACCAGTGTAAAATAATGTTTCTTTTTCTTTTAGTTTCCTATCTTGTTTTTTCCTCCCCAAATCCAGGTGTCAAATTTCTTCACAAGATACATAAATTGCAAATTCCAATTAAGTTTACAAAAGGAAAATATTTTTTAATCCACAAAATAAATATTTTGATCTTAGTCAAATAAACTTTTAACAATGCTATAGAAGTTACACATTCTAATAGAAATGATATACTGCCATCTATAGTGCAAATCACAGACATACAATACTAAGTAACTCGGGTTTACTGAAGAGGGACTCAACCTAGTACAATATTCTGAAATAAAACAAAAAGAAAATAAAGTTTATTCAATGAAATGTTTAAGTAATTTTACTGGGTCTGAGTGAATGTATAATCATGTTAGGTAAAATTTAGTTAGAAAGCTGAGAAAATAATATCTTCAACATTTTAAATGTACCAGAAGAATTGTGTATGTCTTGCCACCAGGACGATCCTTAAGGTTTTCATCAATAAGGATGATTTCATTTACAGTTACATTTGATCAATGTGGTAACAAAACTCTACACAGATTGATGAAGTATCATTTATTAAGTTAAACAACACATTGAAGGAAAACAAACAAAAAAGTGACCATTAAAGAATCAGATTAAAGAATGTGACAAAAAGCAAATGAAGAAAATATTATTAGCACAGTTTACCACAATTAAATTTGTCAAAAAGGCTAGCCATTTTTGCCTACTATTTAGGATTATCTTGTAAAATTGAAGAAGCAGAATAATCAATACCAGGGGCTGGCAAACTTTTATTTATAAAGAGACAGATAATAAAACCTCAGGCTTTGCAGCCATACAATCTCTGTCTCAACTACTCAGTTCTGCCCCTGTAGCAAAGAAACAGCCATAGATGATAGTTAAATAAGTGTGGCTGTGTTCTAATAAAACTTTATTTATGAATACCAAAATTTGAATTTCATGTAATTTTCATGTTGCGAATTAGTATTCTTTAGATGTTTTTTCCTGCCATTCAAAAATGTAAAAACCATTCCTAGTTCTTTGGTCTGTATTAAAACTGGCAGCAAGGCCAGTTTGCCAACCTCCAAACACAGAAGTTCATTCTTTTAAATGCCAATCCTTTGCTTACATTTCTGCCCCAAATCAAAGCAGCCAACATGGCCAAAGAGTACCATTAATTTTGTATTACATGTTAAAGGTGCTGTCTGGAGCAATGTTATGCAAATGGTGCCTCCTGGAGTTATACTGTAAGAGGCCCTGATATTGGATGGGTAATAGTCTATACATGGTAACTTGCATTCCAGACTTTATGAAAATGTTCTGAATATGTATTTATATGTGTGTATATTACATATGTATTTCAATTTTTCAAAATATCTTTATGTGTATGTGTTTGTATTTATCAACAGAATTATTAAAGCAGTGAAACTGTAGGATTTTTCTCTTTGTTATCAGAGTATCTTCTAGTTAACTAGTGATAAAAATATTTTTAATTGGAGCATTTTCATAGTCAAACTTTATAGAAACTTTATACCATCATTTATCAAATTTTGGGTTGCTTTTCAAAATACCATTTATATTCATGTTTCAAGTGAAGCTATGGACCAAGAATTAGCAGGCAAAATGCTGTTTCTAAAGAATTTTCCAGCTTCGTGTTAATAGTAGACCAAATGTTAGCCTTCACTAGTTTTGTTACAAAAACATAAAATAAACTGTTAAAGCAAAGTTGGAAAATGCAGAGCTTCATGCAAACAGGGAGGGTGGACATAACTGAAATAAACTAAGCAAAAAGCTAAAAGCAAAAGAAATAAAGAAAAGAAAGAACCTTATGCATTTCTCCATGAAGATCTCCTACCTCTTCTCTAGTGTCTATGGCAGAGCCAGGGGTGGTGGCAGCAGTGCTTACTGTGGTACTAGGGGCAGTGCCTGATGAAGTCACTGAATCTATCTCTCCTGCTACATCGTTGATCTCCCGAGCAATGAGAGCAAGATCTTGGCTGATCCTGGTAATAATTTTAGAAAAGAAGTTTAATCCCTTTTAAATAAACAGCTCTAAAAACAATCATTTATGAGATAATCAGTCATGTAAGTTGTATATCTAATTAAATATTTGTACCCCAAATTAACTATTAACTATTTTGATAATCAGTCTTAAACCTTAATTCCAAAATTAAGATTAATGAAACTAAACTCCAAATAACCTACAAGATATCACCTTGAAAAATGTACTTTAAAAGCCCTTGAGTAGAGCTATGCCCTTAACACACACTGTGTTAATGACTAGCATTAATACATCACAGGGGTCTTAAACTTGGGGAATAATGGATAGAATTCAAGCAGTTCATGAACTTAAATGAGAAAAAACAATTACAATGTATTCACTAACCTCTAAGTGACGCTTAGCATTTCTTTCAATTATAAATACAGGCAACAAATCACAGTGGTATTAGCAATACTGGTGATTTTTGTCATCAATAGAGATCACATTACAGTTGCTACGGGTATATTTAAACATCATTTATGGTCATCACTGCTTCAAAACTACTGAAGTCATTAAACACACAATAATAACATTTTATTTAATGTTAATAAAGAACCATAAATTACTCTTACTTTCAAATATTTTGATAACTGAATTTCAATATAATTGGATTTCTTTGTAATTCTTTTATGTTTACACCTGAGAAGGGCCCTACAAGCTTCACAAAATGGGCAAAGGGGTCTACAGTACCAAGAAATTAAGAACCCTGCACTCTTTCGTAGAGCACTTTACACTATGCACAGCACTTTCTAGTACATGTTATGTCACTTGAGGCCCACAAAGTTCTTTTGAGGTAGGATTCATCTGACTTTATCACAATCTCAGAGAACCTGAATGGCTTGCTCATGATCACACCTTTAGATGTAGCTAAGGCAGGACTGGATCCAAGCTTTAGTACTCATTTCCATAAAGCCATTTGCATTTTTACCTACATGGACTGAAGAACTAAATAACTGTTACCTGTGATAATCAAAGGTGAAAATAGAGATTTTTCTTTTAGAGTTTTTTTTAAGAGGGACAAACTTACAAAACCTACCACTGATATTCTTGTTTTTTGAGAAACATTTCATTTCAATAAGACATTAACGTTTTCCAAGCTGCATCTACTGCCCATAAACTCGATGTGGCTATTTCCACAGGGAAGGTTTTGGAATGACAGAATATTATTAAAAGTATATATGAAAGTTTCTGCAACTTCAAAATCCAAAGGAAATACAAAGTAACTTAAAAAGAAAAAAAAAAAAAAGAGCCTAGGAGGTCTGGTTATATTGCCCAGGCTGGTCTCGAACTCCTGAGTTCAAGCAATCCTCCGACTCAGCCTCCCAAATAGCTAAGATTACAGACACATGCCTGGCTTAAAGTAACATTTTTTAAACTTATGCAAAATGTGAGTTTGAAAGACTTTCAAGCACATTAGTAATTACATAAAAATTTAGATTTAAAAAGGGAACTAAGTTGAAGTTTATGGACCAACAGAACCAATTTATGGTCAATATATAAACTTTGTAAAAACGTCAGTTAATTCCTCATTTATTTATCAACACAAAGAGGCAGGAAAAACACCAACAAATATTTACTGATTGCTTATGATGTGCCAGGCACTGTGCTAAGTCCTAAAGACTACAGCAATGAAGAAGCAGACAGGGTCCTTGTCCCCATGAAGCTTAGAATACACAGAAGGCACCATTATAATATGATGAGTACATTATAAAGCAGCTTCATAGTCCTCAACTCATTTAATTCCCACAACCACTCTGTAAGAGAAGTATTAATCATCTTGTTCTACAGATGAGGAAAATGAGGCACAGGAGAAGACATGCGACCATTTTTTTGGCCAAGGTCACACATAGTTAAGTGCCATAACTAGATCTTTTCACTATGTCATGCTACATCTCACATGATTGCTCCATATATAATTTTTTAAAACATATTAACTGTTGATGTGATTCTTTTGAAATGTGTTTAAAGTGTTCCCTTATATAATATAGCAAATCCTTGCAATTCCCCAAAATAAATGAACTAGAATAAGAAACAGAATAACCAAGCTTAATGAGATAAAATACAGATAAGCATCATTGTATCCAAAACTCTATTTTTCATTAAGGATTTTTTATGCAGACGATCTGTACAATGAAGTTTCTAATATTTGTGGAAAACAGTATAAATTAATTAGAAAAAACATGGACAACAGCAATCTCCACATGTGATATAGTAAAATATGTATTAAAATGAGCAATTCTTAACGTATATACAACATATATTGTTGATTTGAAAACCTAATAGATATTTTCACATTTAATTCCATTTTATTACAAAATATGGATAAGAAAATAGTGCTGAAGGAACAAAACAGAAGGGTTCAGTTCTCTAGCATTAGTCCTAGTCTTTATGTTTTCCCAAGTGTCAGAACCACTGACTCAATTTCAACAATTCTGTAGAAATAAGTATGCATTACTTAAGAAAAAATGGTGAGATAACATGAGAAATGTACTTTAAGTCATAAAGTTTATAATTTTCCTATGTAAATTATCTCAGTCATAACACTTTTTTTTCACTGAAGGGTTGTATACTGGAAAAAATAATTGTACATTTGGGTATATTGGAAGATTAAAGGATATATTAAAAATTAGAGTTCTAGTTATGTGTATACCCAATTAAACACACAATCTTTGCAAGATTATATATTATTACAACTATAGTAGAAACAAACTATCAGACTTCATTGATTTAAACTGCCAACAAAACATTGTTTTAAATTAGCTATTTAAAAATTTGCCTTATTATTATTTTTTGAGGTGGACTCTCACTCTGTTGCCAGGTTGGAGTGCAGTGGTGCAATCTCAGCTCACTGCAACCTCTGCCTCCTGGATTCAAGTGATTCTCCTGCCTCAGACTACCGAGTAGCCAGGATTACAGGCGTGCACCACCACGCCCGGCTAATTTTGGTATTTTTAGTAGCAATGAGGTTTCACCATGTTGGCCAGGATGGTCTCGATCTCTTGACCTTGTGATCCGCCCGCCTTGGTCTCCCAAAGAGCTGGGATTACAGGCGTGAGCCACTACGCCCAGCCAAAAATTTGCCCTATTTTTTGATAGCACATTCATTTTCAAACGTTTTTACATGTAAAACTTTCCAGAGGATACACACATGAACCTCTGGAATTAAGTTTCCTTTGATATTACTGGAAAAAAGCAACTGGTGGGCTATTAATGAAGTATACTAGCTTTAGAATCCTAAAACCAAAGCTTATGACCGCAAGTCAAACCTCCTGTTACTTTAACATGGGCTAAGAGATCATAACTGTAATGACTCAGCTTTCAAGAAATAATTTAGTCTAGTTTGTAAATGACCAGAAGTGTTAAAATGTAAAATGAGTTTAAGGAGAGACATTTAAGGGTCATTCCAGAAAAGCTCATGGTTTCCACACTATCTAGAAGAGTTTAGTAAGCAAAAAAAGTTTTGTAAGAGGAAAGAGGGGATATCAAATGAAAGGTACTCAGGAAAACTGGAAAAAGAAAATATAAGGAAAAAAAAGTCTAACGTCAATTATTCTAAGTGAAGTAATTCAGGAATGGAAAATCAAACACCACATGTTCTCACTTGTAAGTGGGAGCTAAGCTGTGAGGATGTAAAGGTGTAAGAATGATATGAATTAGCTTTTAATCCTTGTATAAATTATGAACTCGTTTGGAACACAGGCTCTGTGTTTTAGGTTTATTTGCCTCCCCAATGGTGACAAATATGGTCAGCGATTCATAAAAAAGTATGATTTATAATAGGATGCACCAGGGAGACTTTTAATCTGAACAGAGGTCACGGGAATGAGATTCGCGAAGAACGCAGAAGAGATTAGCGACCCCTCTCCTTCCCAATTCCTTCTAATGGTATAAAAGCCAGTCAGCCAAATAATGAAGAGCCATATTATTTTTAAAGAGTCAAGGATCCTGTATCAGGCCCCAAAATTTCAAAGGCAGGTATAAAGTAAAAATTCATAAGCATGTGGCTAAAAAATGTTTTTTATTTCCATGGGTAAAAACAAATTTTGTTTCATTAAGTATTTGGTTTAGCTTGTATTTTTCCTTCTAAGTGATTACTCACTCATGCTCTCCCCTGCACCTCAAATAGAACAAGTATAGTGGTTCAAGGTTTACAAGGCATGGGAAGAAAAAAAAAAAAAAACCCGAGATATTAGCAAATTAACTTCACTTCATTTAAAATTCTCATTGCTTATACAATGCAGGAAAAAGTACACTTGTAAGAGACCCTATACTAGCACACAGAGGCGGTAAGAAGTCAAGTTAAAAAGTACACGAATGCAGGCACCAACGGGACTTATATAACAGCACATGTAAGGTTTTTACTTTGTGCATGAGCAAAAAGTTCTAGATGTTCCCTAACCAGTGAAGACCAATTGTGAATCCCCCCTAACCAGTAAAGACCAATTGTGAATCCCCCCTAACCAGTAAAGACCAATTGTGAATCCCCCATCTAGAGGCACTCCAGATGGAATGCTCAGTATCATTGGCTACGAAGCATGAATGCTTAGCAAAGTCAAATACATACTTGGAAATGCTATCTCCAAATAAAAGACAGTATTCTTATTACTACACTGCCTACAAATAAAAATACAGTATTTTTATTAGTATATAAAAAAGTACCCAGATGTGGCTTTAATGTGATAAGGCTATAATTTTAAAAAATGTACATGCCTTGTAAATACTTGTAACTACATTTTCCCCTGAAGCCTTTTCCTGGTTTTGGCCCATTATTCAAGATTATTTTTCTCAGCTGTTAAAAGCAATGAACATAACCACATTTATGCTATTCTGCCACTTAACTGGATATCTTCTTTCTTTTTTATTAGACAGCACATAATTTTAATACAGCCTTTGGCTTGTTGTGAAGCCACATCTCATCTTCAGTTCTTCTTGACATGCCTTTCATACAGATGTGTTACCACTGTAAACAGCTCAAGCAGATCTTAAGAAATTCACTTAAGGTTTCCTAGAAATGTGATTCACATGAGTTCTGTATCTTAAACCATGACTTTCAAAATGAGGTAAAATATTGTATAATGAAATCAACATATGCAGGTGTGAATATAAACAAGCAATACTGACTTCCATATATGGATCCTTGAAATGTTTCATTACTGGATGACTGTATCTTATACAGTGAATAATGCTATTATGATAAAACAGAAATACAATTTCTCACATCCTAATTTTTTTCCCAAAAAAATTAACTGTAGCTAGGTAAAAATGGGGCTAAGACAAGGAACTTCTACGTAAAAATTTTTAGAGTTTGACTTAAAAATTTTCAATTTGGAATCTTAAGCATTTAAACTATTCAGGGCCTACTGATAACGAGCTAGGTATCTTTTAAAAAACAAAAGAGGCTGGGCACAGTGGCTCACGCCTGTAATCTCAGCACTTTGGGAGGCTGAGGCAGGTGGATCACTTGAGGTCAGGAGTTCAAGAATAGTCTGGCCAACATGGTGAAACCCTGTCTCTACTTTTACAAAAAATTAGCCAGGCATGGTGGCATGCGCCTGTAGTCCCAGCTACTCGGGAGGCTGAGGCAGGAGAATCCTTTGAACTTGGGAGGTGGAGGTTGCAGTGAGCCGAGATCATGCCACTATACTCCAGCCTGGGCAACAGAATGTGAGACTCTGTCTCAAAAAAAATCCAACAAAACAACAACAACAAAAAACAAAGGAGACATAGACAAATTTGGGAAGACTCTAGGCATCATTTATTCAACAAAATTTATTTGGTATCAGTATCAGCTGGGCGCGGTGGCTCATGCCTGTAATCCTAGCACTTTGGGAGGCCGAGGTGGGCGGATCACCTGAGCTCAGGAGTTTGAGACCAGCCTGGCCAACATGGTGAAACCCCATCTCTACTAAAAATACAAAAAAAATTAGCAAGGCATGGTGGTGTACACCCGTAATCCCAGCTACTCAGGACGCTGAGGCACAAGAATTGCTTGAACCTGGGAGGCAGAGGTTGCAGTGAGCTGAGATCGCGCCACTACACTTCAGCCTGGGTGACAGTGAGACTCTGTCTCAAAATAAAATAACATAATTTTAAAAATTTATTTAGTATTTACAAAGCAATAGTTATGAATGATTCCATGATCTCACAGTACAATAAAGAATAAGAAGTCCAGGCAAGAGGCTCAAAGTTTAATTCATGTATTGATTAACTCATATATTTGACTTACATACCAACTATAAAGAAGGTTCACAAAAAAAAGTTTCCTAATGATAAGGAAAGATCTTTCTCTTCCATCAGTGGAAACTGTCAGTTAATTTGTTAGATGTTAGTGGCATTTTGATTCAATAATAGAAGACCTTAATGAAAAAAATTTGGCAAACCCCATTCTTTATGCAACAAAAGTATGGAGAACTGGGAAAGAGTTACACTGAGCCACAAAAGATTTAGGATGGGATAATAATGAGTTGAAATTGGAGGTTTCTTTTGGGCAGCAAGAGCAATTTAATGAGTGGCCTGATTAGAAAAGCAGTTTGAATAAAGTACATGGAGTCTACTTCTAGCCATCAAAAGAGATAGAGATTTAATTTTTTTAAAGGCACCTCCCATTATTGTGAATGAAATGTTTATCGCTACAGATAAGTTACATTTGGTAAAATGTAGAAAGATTCTAGTCTCGAAACTAGACTGATGAATATGCTTCAGATAAGCAGAGGCAGTCACAAATAAAGATGTAATTAAGAGGATAACTTTAAAGGTTTTAGCAAACCTATGCTATCTCCACCAGAGACAAAATCGGCAGGTTAAAAGAAGATGGTCTGACGCCATCTGACAGCAAAGTATTTACTCAATAAACAAGACCTGAGATAGCCAGAGTATTTTTAGAGACTTAGGTACAGACTATGAGGAAGGAATAATGAAGTTCTAGGAAATGTGGAAAACTACAGAGAAACTGAAGAATCACTGTCATCTGAACCTGTGGGCAGGTGGTTTATTTCCCTACTCTTGCTGTTTGGATCTGACCTAGCCCAACAAAATAACAGGGCCTAGACTTGAGATATTATCAATCCACAAATGATGTCTTCAAACTGACTTGGCAGATATGCCTTATTGCTTGATTAGGGTAGTTTTTATATCCATAATATTTTCTCCAAAACAAAAAACATTTTGGTATTATCAAAGCTCACCTCCAATTACAACCCAAAATGTAGTATATCCTTCAATTATATTATAATTGAAGACTTGTTAGCTGAATTGCAATACACAGAAAAGCATTATATTACCTTACAGACAATAAGAAAACCCACACCATTGAATTCTGACAACTAAATTAAATTGGTTCCTACCAACAAAACAATAAAAGCACAAAGCTTTTAATAATGTAGTAAAATTACAAGTAATTTGGTTTTTTACTGTTAAGATTATCACTCATTCATAACTTTAACTGTACATATTTTAGGCTTTGAAAAACATAAACCACAGTTCTATTTTAAAATGTTTTCAAATATATTTGATCAGTATTCTTTTTACTTGAATTTCACTAATAAAATTATGTGTAAAAGACTTAGTAATAATAAAAGCTTTTTGTCTTACAATGCCAAGTGAGTTTCATTTGGGGCCAACAAATCAGGGAACGAGACTGATAGGTGTTCCGTGATACATCTATTTTTTAGACAGAATCTCGCTCTGTCACCCTGGCTGGAGTGCAGTGGCGTGATCTCGGCTCACTGCAACCTCCGCTTCCCAAGTTTCAACGATTCTCCTGCCTCAGCCACCCGAGTAGCTGGGATTACAGGTGCATGCCATCACACCCGGCTAATTTTTGTATTTTTAGTAGAGATGGGGTTTCACCATGTTGCCCAGGCTGGTCTCCAACTCCTGACCTCAGGTGATCCGCCTGCCTTGGCCTCCCAAGTGCTGGGATTACAGGCGTGAGCCACCCCGCCCAGCTGACACAGCTATTTAACGATCACTTTAATATTAAAAAACAAACTACTTATATACCACTGTTTTTACTAGGAGGACAAAAAATTTTTTAATAAATAAGTTTGGACGGAAATTTGAACAAAGCATTGGCTGGGATTCTTAAGCACAAATAAGGTAAGCCCAGCATTTTATAAACTGTAGAATGTAATGCTGATTCTGAAATTCCAATTATATCTGGATTCTCATAAATTTAAACGTGTGAGATCTACACAAAATTAAAAGCTCCAAATAAAGTTCTAACTATAATCATAAACCACGGTTTTCTCTGTATCCCTCTTAAATATAACATTTATTGACTACTGACTATATGTCAAGCACTAGGTTAAGTATGTGCATCAACTTGTCGACTCTCTCAGGTTGGCACCATTACGTCCATTTTACCGATGAGATCACTAGAACACATTTAATTAACTCATCCTAGGTCACACAGACCTTGTGGTCGAGTTGGGTTTGAATCTCAGACCAAGAATATGGTCTGAGTCCAGAGTCCATATTCTTCACCATTCAGCTACACCACATCCCTGTCACTGAGGTTATCTCAGAGTTCAGCCGCATTTGCAGCTCCCTCACCATTCCGTGGTGATACCATCTACTACAATAGCTCCAAGTATTTACTCTTTACGAATGACTACAACGATGAGTCTAGCCCTCACGGCTTCCTGTTTCACAGCCGCAGTTCAACTGTCTGCTAGCTTTTTTCACAGGGCTATCCTTTAGGCATGTTGGTGTCAGTATGACCAAAATACAACCTATCTTCTTTTCCCATGCCTTTTGTGTTCCCTACTCCCACTAATCTCCCATCTGATCAACCATGGAACCATTTTAAATTCTGTCTTACTATTCTGGCAATCATCAAAAGCTAGGCCTCTTGTGCCATACAGCCAAGTTGTGAATGCAAAGGAAAAGTTCTTGAAGTAAATTAAAAGTGCTACTCTAGTGAACACAGGAATGATAAGAAAGCAAAACAGCCTAATGCTGATATGGACAAGGTCTGAGTGGTCTGGATAGAAGATCAAACCAGCCACAACATTCCCTTAAGCCAAACTAATCCAGAGCAAAATCTGAACTCTCTTCAATTCTGTGAATGCTGACAGAGGTGAGGAAACTGCAGAAGAAAAGTTTGCAGAGGTTGGTTCATGAGGCTTAAGGAACGAAACCATCCCCCTAACATGAAAGTGCACAGAGAAGCAGCAAGTGCTGATATAGAAGCTGTAGCAACTTATCCAGAAGATCTAGCTAAGATAATTGATTAAGATGGTTATAATAACAACTGATTTTCAATGTTGATAAAACAGCCTTCTATTGGAAGAAGATGCCATCTAGGACTTTCAGAGCCAGAGAGAAGGCAATGCCCAGCTTCAAAGCTTCAAAGGACAGGCTGACTCTCTTGTTAGGGGTTAATGTAGCTGGTGACTTTATGTTGGAAGCCAATGCTCATTTTCCATTCCAAAAGTCATAGGGCCCTTAAGAATTATGCTAAATCTACTCTGCTTGTGCTCTACAAATGGAACAATAAAGCCTGGATTATGGCATATTTACAGTGTGGTTTACTAAATATTTTAAGACCACTGTAGAGACATACTGCTCAGAAAAAAATGATTATTTGCAAAATATTACTGCTCATGGACAATGTACCTGGTTACCTAAGAGCTCTGATGGAGATGTACACGGTGATTAATGTTGCTTTCATACCTGCTAACATCCATTCTGCAGCCCATGGATCAAGGAGCCATTTTGATTTTTTTTTTTTTTTTTGAGACGGAGTCTCGCTCTGTCGCCCAGGCTGGAGTGCAGTGGCGCCATCTCGGGTCACTGCAAGCTCCGCCTCCTGGGTTCACGCCATTCTCTTGCCTCAGCCTCCAGGGTAGCTGAGACTACAGGCGCCCGCCACCACGCCCGGCTAATTTTTTGTATTTTTAGTAGAGATGGGGTTTCACCATGTTAGCCAAGATCGTCTCAATCTCCTGACCTCGTGATCCACCCGCCTCAACCTCCCAAAGTGCTGGGATTCCAGGCGTGAGCCACCGCGCCCAGCCATTTTTTTTTTTTTTTTTTTTTTTTTTTTGAGATAGAGTCTCGCTCTGTCACCCAGGCTGGAGTGCAGCGGCACAATCTCGGCTCACTGCAACCTCTGCCTCCCGGATTCAAACAATTCTCCTGCCTCAGCCTCCCGAGTAGCTGGGACTACAGGCACGTACCACCATGCCCAGCTAATTTTTTCTATTTCTAGTAGAGACGGGGTTTCACCGTGTTAGCCAGGATGGTCTCTATCTCCTGACCTCGTGATCTGCCTGCCTCGGCCTCCCAAAGTGCTGGGATTACAGGCGTGAACCACCGTGCCTGGCCCGTTTTGTCTTCTAAGCAGAAAATGTATTCCTTTATTTAAGAAATAACATTTTGCAAGACATAGCTGTCATAGGTAATGATTCCTCTAATAGATCTGGACAAAGTAAACTGAAAATCTTTTGGAAAGGATTCACCATTCTACATGCCATTAAGGACTTCTGTGATTCATGGAGGAGGTAAAAATATCAAGATTAACCGGAGTTTGGAAGAAACTGATTCCAACCCTCATGGATGACTTTGAGGGTTCAAGACTTCAGTGGAGGAAGTCACTGCAGATATGGTGGAAACAGAAACAGAACTAGAAAGACTAGAGTTAGAAGTGAAGCCTGAATATGGGACTGGATTGCTGCAATCTCGTGATAAAACATTAACAGATGAGAAGTTGCTTCTTATGGATGGGAAAAGAAAGTGGTATCTTGCAATAGAATCTACTGGTGAAGCTGTTGTGAGCACTGTTGAGATGACAACAAAGGATTCAGAATATTACATAAACTCAGTCGATAAGCCAGCGGCAGGGTCTGGGAGGACTGACTGCAGTTTTGAAAGAAGTTCTACTCTGGGTAAAATGCTATCAAACAGCATCACATTGCTACAAGGAAATCTTTCATGAAAGGAAGAGTCAATCAACGTGGCAGACTTCACTGTTGTCTTCTTTTAATTAAGAAATCGCCACAGTCATCCCAGCCTTCAGCAACCACTGCCCTTGAATAAGTCCACAGTCATCAGCAGGGATGTAAGACCCTATGCCAACAAAAAGCTGATGACTTACTGAAGGCTCAGATGATCACTACTGTTTTTTACTAATAAAATATTTACTTGTTTAGGTATATACTTTTTTTAAGAAGCAGTGTTACTGCACACAGTATAGTGTGAACATAATTTTTACATGCACTAGGAAAAAAAAACTGTGTGACTTGCTTTGAGATATTTGCCTTACTATAGCGGTCTGAAACCAAACCTGTACTATCTTCGAGGTGTTACTGTAGAT